>NC_000017.11:9127474-9278989 GCF_000001405.40 Homo sapiens
TGCCTGGTCCCTCTTTGTAGCACTGGGGAGCGTGGTGCAGGCTGGAGTGAAGGACGGTTGGAGTGGTGGCAGGTGCAGAGAAGAGGCCAGGCTTTGCTGCTGAGGACCCCTGGACACACTCGGTGTCTACTGGGCACACTTGGTGTTAAAAGCCACAGTGGGCACAGGGGGCTGGAGAGGCAAGTGACCAGGTACCCCAGGCTTCCTGCAGCTCAGACGGGGGAACTAGAAAGTCCTCTGAGAAAACATGTGCCACCACCAATGATTCTACTGATGGGCCAGACATGAGCGGCTTGGGTTGGAGCTAATTCTAGGATGCAGGAAGAGAGAACTCAAGTTCCTCTAAAAGTATTCTAGGTTGGTCGGGCACAGTGATGCACGCCTGTAATCCCAGCACTTTGGGAGGCTGAGGTGGGTGGATCACCTGAGGTCGGGAGTTCGAGACCAGCCTGGCCAACATGGTGAAACCCCGTCTCTACTAAAAATAGAAAAATTAGCTGGGCATGGTGGCACACGCCTGTAATCCCAGCTACTCAGGAAGCTGAGGCAGGAGAATCCCTTGAACCTGGGAGGCAGAAGTTGCAGTGAGCCGAGATTGCGCCACTGCACTCCAGCCTGGGTGACAGAGCAAGACTCCGTCTCGAAAAATAAATAAATAAATAAATAAATAAATAATAATAATAAAGTGAGCTGGGTGTGGTGATGCATGCCTGTAATCCCAGCTACTTGGGAGGCTGAGGCAGGAGAATCTCTTGAACCCAGGAGGCGGAGGTTGCAGTGAGCTGAGATCATGCCACTGCATTGCAGCCTAGGCAACACAGTGAGACTCTGTCTCAAAAAAAAAAAAAAAAAAGTATCCCAGGCTGCCCCGACCTCTGCTCTTCCTGTGTTCCACCTGTGAAGCAGGGAGAGGTGTTGAGAGGTGGGTAATGATGATGATGCTTCTGGCAACCAGCCCTGGGCCAAGGGAGCCAGCTGGAGGGACAGAAATGGGGCTTCCCTAGCCCACAGCTGTGCTTGGCCCATGCACTTCTCCTTGTCCCGGTGCAAAGCAGTGAGACTGGCCCTCATCTTCTCCAGCGTGCCCCATTGTCTCACACTACCATTTTTGGACTCATTTTTTCTGTCTAAACTGAAGGCTGCACCTGGTCGTTTTCCTTGGATTCAAACTGTGAGAGGAAGACAACTCCAGGATCCTTGGTATACCGGGTCCCTGTGGTGTACCGAGGGAGACCCTTTGCCAATTCTGAGGGGTTCCTCTGGAATGCTCCCTCCTGGCTCCATTCTCAGGGCCGCCTGGCCAGCGTTCACCCAACCCGAGTGCAGAGTGTGGCAAAAATCAGAATCTTCATAAGATTTCCATGCACTGAGAGAACAAAAAGAAATGGTCCCTGGAGTGAAGCAAAAAGCCCATTCGCCATTTATCCCAAGTGCTGTGGAACAGAAGAAAGAGCATTTTTAAAATGAACCAAGGGGCCTGCAGCTCTTTCCCCAATGCTGCCCTGTGTAACCCAAGGCTGGGCCTGCGTTTCTTTGCTTGCAGCACTGGGGCTTGGCTCTGTGATCCCCGAGTCCCTCTCCGCGGTAACACTATCCAAGGCAGCGCTCACTTTCGTTGCCTCGGCCAGCAAAAAGAGAGGGCGAGATTAACACCCTCAATTACGTCTTTGCAGAACTCAGACCTGAGGAAATTGAAAAACACTCAAGCCAGCGTGGGACTGGGTTTAGAGGGGGTCTGCTGGGGACGCCATTCAGGGAATTGCTCTTTCCAAGGCTCCTGAGTGGCTGGGGAGGCTGGGCCTCCTCCAGCCTCATTAAAAGGTACTTTACCTGGAAGGCCCCAGAGCCCAGGTCCAAGCAGAGGGAACAGCTGAGGGGAGGTGGTGGAGCTGGAGCGGCTGAGCTGCTGAATTGTGAGTCTTCGTCTGGCTTCTGGTCTGAGTGCCTCTGCTCACTGGTCCTTCTTGTTTGCCTGATTGTTTTTCCTCTTGGGGAGGAGATGGTCCTTTTGAGCCCCAGCATTCTGAGTGACAGACTGAGTTTCATCCCATCAAAAGTTCTGTTCAGGCTAAAGCTTCTGTGTATGTCATAAGGAAAGTATAAATGAAATCAGGAATCTCCCCCAAAAGCATGTCACCCTCGGCGTCTGCCTCCCCTGAATCTCCGTTTGCTTCTCAGTTAAGGATGCCGTGTTTTCCATACTGTCACCTCCCGTGCCATTTGGAATGTGGATAACTCAGCATGCAAGAGAGTTCCACGCTCTCTCTGGACCTCCCGGCTGCCGTCTCCCCTTCTGCAGGTGTGAGCATGTGTGTGCAGCCATTGACTCCTGAGCCATCCTTCCTGTTTGGTGGTCCCAGACCTGGCAAGGTGTGGGAACGTGTGCAACTCGGGATTGATGAAATACAGAAAATCTCAGCCCAACAGAGTCTGAAAGCTGCGAGTTCACCAGGCCAGTGATGGTGTGTAGGCCTCTACCAGCCTCCCAGGCATTGGATCTGGAGGAAGGGGCCTTATCTGTGAGTGGCTTCTTGTTGGCATGTTGGTGATAAGGGACCCTGTGAAGTTATGTCTTGGTGCCTGAAAGCCATCGAGGGCTTGCTGGGACACGTGCAGGGGAGTCTGGTGACACCTGGGTCAGGGTAGTCAGTGGCTGTCTCGCTGTTTTCTACCTGTTGACAGCAGTCATCTCATAGGTGTGGGTTTCTCACCTTCCTGAGGCAGATGGTGAAGGGAGCAGGGCAGATTCTTTGCAGGAGGCTGGTATGGGTTTCACTCCAGCACCATGGGTCCTCAGGCCAGCTCTCTGTGTCCCTGCTCCTCCGCTGTCAGGTGGAAATCATCCTGAGGACTAAGGGAGGCGGCAGGAGTCCCGTGCCTTGCTCACAGGTGATAACTGCTCAGGGAATGATGCACCTGTTCCCTCCCTTTCCTGAGTACTGGGGGAGGTGATTAAAGATCAGGTGTGAGAGGCCCCGTGTCTGTCCTGCAGGAGTTCACAGTCTTCTTTGGAGACCTCTTTGTTCTCCAAAGCCCCACCTGGGGTGGCCAGCTGCCTCCTGGGCAGCCTTCCCCTGGGCACCCCTTAAACTCATCCACTCAGAGCCAGATATGTCTGTTCTTCCAGACCTGCCCTCACTCGGGGTTTCTTCCTTGGTCCTTGACGTCTCTTGGACACCCTAAACACCCCAGGGTCATCCCAGACAATTCCTTCTTCCTCACGTGCTGGTGTTCAGCCCCAGGTCTGAACCCCTCCAGTGGTTTCTTCCTCCTCTGTCATTACCCTACCCTGATTCAGGCCCTCAGCCCACATCTAAATGGTCTCCCAAGCTCCACACCATCTCCCCACCTTGCAACGCCTGGTGGCGTGATGGTTGTCCTTACCTATCACATGCATTCTCTCTTGATTCTCTGAGTCTCGAGTGCTTTATTCTCAAGTTGCTATTGAGGCCAGACTCTCCTACACCAGGGAGTTTGCTCTGTTCCCCCTCTGCCTAAGTCTGGGTTGTGTACACCCCTCGTCTGCACTTTCCCTAATTCTCTGTGTGTGTTCCAGTGATGGCCTCCTTGCTCTTTCTCCGCTCTGCCAGGCACACTCTTAACTCAGGGCCTTTGCACTGGCTGTTTCCTCTCCTGACAAGCATGCTACTCCTCCCTGTGTCTACATGGCTCACATCTTAACTTCTTTAAGTTCTTTACCTTCATGTCATTGACTCAACAAGGGCTCCGTGATCACCCTGTAGAAAACCATAACACCTTTTCCAACACTCAGCATACCCTTTCCTCCCTCCTGCCTGATTTTTCTTCATGACACTTAGCATCCTCTTATATACTCTATGGTCTCCTAATGCGCTGTGTTCATTGTTTCTCTTCAATCACGAGAAACAGGGATTTTTGTCTGTTTTGTTCATTGCCACATCCCCTGTGCCTGGCGCATAGGCTTTTGAGAAATATTTGCTGAATGAATGAATGAATGAATGAAGTGCATCCTATGTATCCTATTCTTAAATGGTCCATTTTGGCCTCTCCTCCACTAGCCTCTGCCCTGCTTGAGGGCTGGGCTGTGCTCGGTTTGTCTGTGTTTCGGCCATGGTATTCCCTTGATGCTTTTTTTTTTTTTTTTTGAGGTGAAGTCTTGCTCTGTTGCCCAGGCTACTATGCAATGGTGTGATATTAGCTCACTGCAACCTCTGCTTTCTGGGCTCAAGCGATTCTTCTGCCTCAGCCTCCCAAGTAACTGGGATTACAGGCATGCACCTCCACGCCTGGCTAATTTTTTGTATTTTTAGTAGAGACAGGGTTTCGCCATGCTGGCCCTTGATGCTTTTTTTTATTATTATCATTTTTAAGACGGAGTCTTGCTCTGTTGCCCAGGCTGGAGTGCAGTAGCATGATCTCGACTCACTGCAACCTCTGCCTCCTAGGTTCAAGCAATTCTCTGCCTCAACCTCCCTAATAGCCGGGACTACAGGCGCCCGCAACCACGCCCGGCTAATTTTTTGTATTTTTTTTTTTTTTTGGTAGAAACTGGGTTTCACTGTGTTAGCCAGGCCCCTTGATGCCCATTTGATGAATGACTGGTGGTCTCAGCCTCTGTTTCAATACTCTGTCCGCGCAGGAGTTAGACCATGTCACTTTGGCCTCTGAAAGGCTAGATTCCTGGGTGGTTTCTCCAGAGCACTCATCCAGTCCCTCGTCACCTGGCCGTGGCCTGAGCACCTTCTCCTCTACCCATCACACTCACACTCTGGGCTCATTCTCCTGTCACTCTGTCCACTAACAAGCCATGTACTTTCATGAACATTACACGTTTCCACCTCCAAACCTTTGTTCCTGCTGTTCCGCCTGCCAGGAATGTCCTCACTCCTGACATCCTGGAAAACTCCTATGCATCTCACACTAGCTTTGAACCTTCTACCCAGCGCACACCTTGTACATCCGTCTTCTCTAGCAGGGACCTACTCCCTTTCTCATGCCTACTCCTTTGCTAGAATATGAACTTTTCACGTGCAGCTGCCACACCCTGTTCATCTTTGTGCCCTTTAATCCTAGCACTGTGTCTGGCATGAGGCTGTCCTGGATGTTTAATAAATCAGCAAGGAAAAGAATGACACGTCCGGCCAGGCGCAGTGGCTCACGCCTGTAACCCCACCACTTTGGGGGGCTGAGGCAGGCGGATCACCTGAGGTTGGGAGTTCAAGACCAGCCTGACCAACATGGAGAAACCCTGTCTCAACTAAAAACACAAAATTAGCCAGGTGCAGTGACACATGCCTGTAATCCCAGTTACTCAGGAGGCTGAGGCAGGAGATTCACTTGAACCCAGGAGGTGGAGATTGTGGTGAGCCCAGATTGCACCATTGCACTCTAGCCTGGGCAACAAGAGAGAAACTCTGTTTCAAAAAAGAAAAAGAATGACACGTCCACACTGATAATACCAAATTCCCTTTAACTGAGGGTCAAAATGAGCTGAGTGTGGCCCAGCCTGACTCCAGGAATATCTGAAATGCTGTTGGTTAAGCATTCTGGCCAAAACCTTCCACGGACTGTAGACGCTCACAACCTGGGATGAGGTCTCCTCCCCTCCACCTTAACGGCTGACCACACCTTCACCCAGTGCGAGCCACCGAGAGCCCTGCCAGCTTCTAAGCCTGGGCAACTATCTAGTCCTTCTCCTTTCCCTGTCAGGGATCTCTGACACTGCATGTTGCCAGCTGCTCCTGGGGGAGTCTGACGGATGCCACCACCGCCTTGGTCTGTTAAGAATCTACTGGAGGCCTCAGGGAAAGCAGCTCCAGGCTTCCGGAGAGGTAGTTTGGCTGTGGTTCTCACTCACAGGACCTGTTGTGCCAAGACCAGGAGGTCAGGTGCTCGCCTAAGGGCTTGCCGAGGAAGGATCTGGGCAGCCCAGCAGGAGCAGGGCCATCTCTCCTCCTTGCTCCCAGGCGACTTGCTGTGTTTGAGCTGGGGCCTTAGGTTTACTCAGCAGGTGGTGTCTACACCTGTAACGACCATGCAGGGCTGGGAGCCAGGGCGCATGCTTAATTCTTGTCCTGGCTGGAAAGCAAGTTGGCCGTGGTCTTCCATTCTGTGCAGGGACCTTCTCATTGAATTTTTTTTTTTTTTTTTTTTGAGACAGAGTCTTGCTCTGTCGCCAGGCTGGAGTGTAGTGGCACAATCTCGGCTCACTGCAACCTCCACCTCCCGGGTTCAAGCGATTCTCCTGCCTCAGCCTCTTGAGTAGCTGAGATTACAGGTGCGCACCACCATGCCCAGCTAATTTTTTTTTTTTTTTTTTTTGTATTTTAGTAGAGACAGGGTTTCACCATGTTGGCCAGGATGGTCTTGATTTCCTAACCTTGTGATTTGCCTGCCTTGGCCTCCCAAAGTGCTGAGATTACAGGCATGAGCCACTGGGCCTAGCCTTTTTTTTTTTTTTTTTTTTTTTGAGACAGAGTCTCACTCTGTCTCCCGGGCTGAAGTGCAGTGATGTGATCTCAGCTCACTGCAACCTCTGCCTCCCGAGTTCAAGCAATTCTCCTGCCTCAGCCTCCCAAGTAGCTGGGATTACAGGCACCTGCCACTATGCACAGCTAATTTTTTGTATTTTTAGTAGAGACGAGGTTTCACCATGTTGGCCGGCTGGTCTTGAACTCCTGACCTTGTGATCTGCCCGCCTCAGCCTCCCAAAGTGCTGGGATTACAGGCATGAGCCACCACACCTGGCCCTCATTGAATGTTTAAAAGCCCCACTCATCTCATAAACAGGATTCCCTTAGAATATGTTTGCCAGGACCCCTTTGTTCCTGGGGCCAATAACAGCTGTCCTCTTTCCCCCAGATGACTGATTTCTTGCCAACCCCTCTTAGTGATAACTGGGTGCTCACCCTCTCTCCCCCCAGAGCACTCCCTCCGGTTTCTGTGCCCGGCTGGGGTTGCAGCTGCCTCTCTCTGGACCTCACTGGAAAATCAGGGATTGACTAGATTGGGAGCATGGTCCTTGTATATTAGAATCACCTGGAACTTTAACAGAACTACTCACGTCAGGGCCTCTCTCCACACTAATTAATCAGAGTCTCTGGGGTGGGGACCACACTTTTTAAAAAGCTTTCCAAGTAAGTCTAACATGCAGCCGGGGCAGAGAACCATGAGAATAGACAGTCTTTCTGCTCTGGGCGGCCCTGAGCTTTCAGGGGTTCCAAATGTTCAGGGCCCAGATGCTGGCTGCTCATTGCCCTGTGGGACCCTTCTAGGTGCGAAGTGAACATGCAGAGACAGTCAGTGCATCACAGAGCCCGCTGAGTTTAAGCCTCAGGCCTGGGGTCTTTCCATGGCTGTTGTTTTCTAGGTATTTGCAGACTGGAAATGAACCTACCAGGACTTCTCAATAAAGCGTCTTCCTCCTGCCCTGCTTTTGGTTCTGGGTCCTGAGAAAGGTGAGAAAGCTTATTCCAGAACTCAATAGTCTTGTTTGGGAGGCCTGTCCCTGAGTTCCAGACCCAGGGGGTGCTGCCTCCTGAATGGACACCCCCATTGTCATGCAGCTGACACCTCCAACCCCCATACCCAGACCAAATTCTCCGAGTGCTGTACCTGGACACGGGTGTCCCCATCCACACCGAGGGCCCGGTAAGGCACATTGTCCCCCAGCCCCTGATGCTCCCGGCCCATCCTCCCTTCTCTACCCCATTCCTTTGTCTTTGCTCACCTTGCCAGTTCTTCCCATCTCCTGTCTGGGCTGCCCTTTACTGGCTACAGGAGGGTCACTGTTCTGCTGGAAAGTGTCTGAGAGCAGCTGCCACCTGGGTCTGAATGTGTCCCCCAGACCCAACACCTCTTTGCACAGTCCTGAACCTGTGTCTGGCTCTTGCTTCCCCTGCAGCCATCCTGCCAACCAGACCACACTAACGTTGTTCTCATGCACGGCTTCCTCTGGCCTCTGAGCCTTTGGACGTCCTTCCCCCTATTCTCGGGTTGTCTCCTGTTCCCAGCAATAGTTCATTCGCCACTGTCGGGGTCAACCACTTAGTCCTCTTGACCATGAGACTCTCCTAAGTTCTGAATGCAGAGGATTGGCTGAGATCCACGCTTCTTGGAGCCCATTGGCTTCCCCTTGAATTGTCACGATGGCCCAGCACTGTTGGGTTCAGCTGGTGTGTGGAGCCTCTGCTTTTTCTGTAGAGACTGGACTCTTACTTCTTCTAAGCTGTTGTCTCATCTCCAGGTTGAGGTTCTAGGGCTCCCTGGAGTAGGCCTGGTGGGGCACTTGTCCTTAGAGCCCTTTCCTGGCAATCTGTTCTGGCTTCCAGCATTCCAGGGCATTGGAAGGGGCATTTAGGAGACCAGGGTTCTAGCCCTGAGTCCACCATTCACTCCCTGAGCTCCTCTTCACACATGTCGACTGAGCACAGCCCATACTCAGAGGGCAGCATGAACACTGCCACCCCAAACGTGTCTGTGTGCGCACGCTCACTCATACATGTGTGCACGTGCCTACTCAAACTCGACACCCATCCTCCTCACTCCCGCCTGGGAAGCTCTAAGCCCATTTCCTCGTGTCCCCCTGGTGCGATGACTCAGGCTGCTTTCTGGAATCTTCCTAGAGTCAGTCCCCACTCAGGGGAAACTGAGTCACAGCTTGACAAGAGTGGGCAGGAAATGCTCCAGCAACAGGCCAGCAGCTAGGGGCAGCAGAGCAAATGCTGCCCTGCACACCTCAGTCTTTACAAAACCAAACCAAACGGAGCCTAGCTTTACTTTATTCTGAAGTGGTTCAGAGTAGACGATAATAACACTGTTAAGAAAAGAGTATAGTGTGGCTGAGTGTGGTGGCTCACGCCTGTAATCCCAGCATTTTGGGAGGCCAAGGCAGGTGGATCACCTGAGGTCAGGAGTTCTAGACCAGCCTGGCCAACATGGTGAAACCCCGTCTCTACTAAAACAAATACAAAAATTAGCCAGGCATAGTGGCATGCGCCTGTAATCCTAGCTACTCAGGAGGCTGAGGGAGGAGAATTGCTTGAACCCGGGAGGCAGAGGCTGCAGTGAGCCAAGATTGCACCACTGCACTCCAGCCTGGGCAACAGAGCAAGACTCTGTCTCAAAAAGAAACAAACAAAAAAAGAAAAAAAAGAAAAAAGAGCATAGTGTAACAAACGCCTGTGTGCCAGCTCCTAGCTTTATCAGATTGTAACATGATACTTTCTCTGTGTGTGTGCGCTTCATCCTTTTATTATTTTTTTGAAGAAATTGGTCTTTATGAATTCCTCCTCCCTGCCCTAGCCTTGCAAGCTGGGAACACACACTGTGGAGAGGACCAGAGGTCAAGCCCTCACCTCTCCTCCTGCCACAATTTCAGGCTCTTCGCAGTCGGAGCCTGTTCAGACCTTTCCTTCCTCACTCCTGCCCAGCTCCTTCCTCGTGGCAGAAAGAGGGAAGGCCTTGACAGTCAGCCCCCATCACTTCAGCGCACAAAAAGGGGTGTGTGTGGATTGTTGAGAAAAATACAGAAGTTGACTCCTCTCTCAGGATTCCTGGTGGTGTTCTCAATTTTTCCTATGCCATTTTCTTGGCCTGGAATTTCATTTTCTCCCCTCCTCCACACACCCTGCTCCTATCTATGCTTTAAGACCTGGCTCAAATGACCCCTCCTCCATGAAGACCTCTCTGATGGCTGGCTTAGAAATAGTCTCTGCATTTCATCCTATGTTGTCAGTGCCTGGAATTTGAGTTTTGTTCATGCATCGTCTCCCACTCCTACCAGGCTGCAAACTCCCGGGGACTAGCGACCATGTCTCCTGTTTGTTCTGTATTCCCACCCCCACCCCATGCCAGTAATGATGCGAAGCTGGTGGGCAGTGACTGTCTGCTGAGCGAATATTTGATTCCTGAGGTGTCCCCAGTACCTAGAACAGAACTGGCATGGGGTGGACACTCAGTGAAGATTGTGGCGTGAATGAATGAACCAATGAACAGAGCACAGAGTGCCCTATCCGTGGAGGGGGGCATGTGTCTCTACCTGTAAGAGTTGACCGGCGGCCTGGCACAATGGCTCACGCCTGTAATCCCAGCACTTTGGGAGGCCAAGGTGGGTGGATCACCTGAGGTCAGGAGTTCGAGACCAGCCTGGCCAACATGGTGAAACCCTGTCTCTACTAAAAATACAAAAAATTAGCTGAGTGTGATGGCAGGCACCTGTAATCCCAGCTACTTGGGAGGCTGAGGCAGGAGAATCGCTTGAACCTGGGAGGTGGAGGTTTCAGTGAGCCGAGATCGCGCCACTGCACTCCAGTCTAGGTGACAGAGCAAGACTCCATCTCAAAAAAAAAAAAATAAAACTGTTGACGGGCATCTTGGGTACTTCCGGCATTTCCGGCCTTCCCGGCTGGACTTGGTGTTTTCCCTGTGCCTGATTTCAGGAATGAGGTGGATGTTTCGGGATGGCCAGGCCAGGGCCCACGTGCCTGCAGTGAGCTCAGGGCGGGCTCTATCAAAATCCCGCTGGTCCAGTCCTGAAGTGCAGTGGGCAACCAGATGTGCTCCACCTCCCTCCCCAGCCCAGCCTTCCCTGTCCCACCATGAGGTGAGAGCGGGCCTCTGAAGCCACAGGGCCTGCTGGTTTGCAAGAATCCCCGGCGTGTCTTTTTTCCAGTGAGTGACTTTTAAGTTGTCTTCAGAATGATTGCTCAACTTGAAAACCCCCTGGGCGGGTGTCTGGGGTGGTTTGGATCATTGCGCAGCATTTCATTCCTTTCCCCAAATTGCTCATTATTTCATTTGCATAAATTTTAGTGGTGAGATACCGCCCCAGGCCTAGGAAGCTCAAATAGACCTCATAATGGGGCATCAGAGACAAGTGGTGGGGGCCCCGTCTGGCCAGATCACGTGTCTGCGATGTTCTCAGGCTGTGTCCTGGCAGGAGCGGGCTTGGAAGGAGGACAACAATGTGCTACTTCCAGGGGGTAGGTGTCCTGCAGGGCTCGGTGGCTGGACCCCAGACGCTGCCTCTCCCTGACCTCAACCTGTCCCCCCACTCTCCGCACACTGTCACCAAGTGCCCTGCGTGGATGGGAGATGGAAGCCAGACAGAGCCTCATTCCCAGCTGGGCTCTGGCATCTCCTTGTCCATCAATCCGTCTGCACCTACTTATTGGGTGTGCTGACAGCCGCGTGCCGGGTACCGCGATGAGGCAGGGGTGGGGCAGACAGGGGAGTCAAAGACTGGAGGAGATAAGGCCAGGCAGCTGTGTTAGGTACCAGGGAGGGGCAGAGCTGTCAGGGCTGGGGAGTGGGGGATTGGTGAACCTGGGACCTGTGGGCTGAAAATGGGGGCTTGAAGAGAGTCTTGGTTGGTCAGGACCCCTCTAGGGCTGACCTTCCCACAAGGTGGCTCAGGGTCACCAGTCCCCTTGGTACTCTGGCTGCTGGGTGGTTGGGGCAGTGAGCAGATGCATCCAGGGCTCAAGTCCCCTCCGATATCCCTGAATGTGCTTTTCACCTAAGACCATTTTCCAGTGTGGCGTGTGGTGGAGGCTGGGAAGGCCATCCTGGGGCAAGTCTCTGGACACCATGGAGGAGGGGATTTAGCTAAAAGGTCTTCGGGGGACAGGGACTAAGTAGGCAAGGCCCAAGCATAGTCTTTCGTGGAGGGGCTCATGGGGGTGATGCCAGTCAGGGGATTGGGAAGGTTGTGGGGGCCTTGAATGCTGAGCTTAGGAATCGAGACATGTCCTTTAGGCTCTGTGGAGCTAGGGCAGCTTTCTGATCAGACAATAAATGAGGTGCTTTAGGCCTGTTGACCCGCTGTGGAGCAGGTACCGGAGGGCCAGGCCTGACGCCATGGGGGTGTAAAGTGGGCAGAATGAGGGCAGAGGGAGACCCTAACAGGAAGTCATACCTGGCACCTTCCCTCACCTTCATTGGCTCCTTCTGAGGCAATGCACCAAGCAAAACCATATTTCACTGAATCCTGGCATGGTCCAGGGACAGAGCTTGCTGGGACCCACAGGCTTCAGTTCCAAGAGAAGGAGTCCACGCTGCCCTCTCAGGCTCCAGTTTTCCAATGATTTCCTCATCATCTCCAGAAACTCAGTTAATATAATGCCTCTCAGTGTTTACTGAGAGCCTCCTGTGAGCCAAGCTTGCTTTTAAGTTCAGTGAGAGAATAGGAGAGAAAGAAGACATCACCCTCGTCCTCAGGGACTAACCATAACTATATGCAGTGCAATTTACATTAAACATTTTTGGGCTGTGACTCACAGTAAAAATGTATTTACCATTATGAATTATTATCTAGTACATCCATCTACCTACCTACCTACTCACTTATCCATCTACACCTATCCATCCTTCCATCATCTGTTCATCCATCCATTCATTCAGCCATCTATCCATCGATTCCTCCATCATTTATTCATTCATCCATTCATCCATCATCCATCCATTCATCCATCATCCATCCATCCATCTGTCCATCATCCATTCATTCATCCATCTATCCAAAATAAAAGTTCAATCAACCCTTACTCTGTGGTCCACTCTTATACTTTCAGTTTGCTTCTATTTTTTTTTTAATGCTGTCCACGATTCACTAAACTGGTCTCATGACCTGCTAATGAGTTGTTAGCTGCAGTTTAATAAGTGATGGCCACTCTGAAGAGTTGAAGCCAGCATACATACACTCCTTGTTAGATTGTCTAGGAGAGCTGTGTTCTCCTGAAAGACCGTCGGGTGGTGTGAGCTGTGTGTGCTCTGGGCCACCAGGAAAGGTGGAGGTCATTGTGAGGACTGTGGCGCAGAGCAGGAGCTCTGAAGTAAGAATGGTGTTACCTGCAGTGCAGTCTCTGCACCCCCTGCCCTGGTGCTGTGGCAGAACGGGTGCTTTGCCTCTGAAAACAACAGAAGGAAAGCACAGGCTGAACTCGTTGAAAAATAAAAACATAAACTTGAAATAAAAAAATGCATCTCTGAGCTGGCATTTGTTGAGTTCCCCAGAGTGAAAGCAGTGTTCATGGAGGTGAACAAGCACCAGAGCCAGATGTGTGTGTGCAGGTGTGGGTCAGACCCCTATGACAGTGAGCCCCTGTTTGACAGCTTGTGGGACTCAGGAGGCCAGAGGTAAAGGCAGGGCTTCCCCCATCCCCAGTGAAAAGTCCAACAGGAGTTGGCCACGCAAAATGTAAACCCTAAAGCACTGCACTCTCAATGTAAGGGCCAGTGAGAAATGAACCTGTCATGTAGGAGGGGAGAGTGAAGAGACCAGTGTGTTCTGACCTTTGTCCTGCACAGGAGGGAAAAGGTCGTCTCTCCCTAGAATTCATTACCACCGGCCAGCTCTCAGGCAGGCTGAAAACCCACATTTGTGACCCCTGTGCCAGTCTAAGATGATGGTGACTTGGACTAGGGAAAGAAGTAGCAAGATTTGGGAGAGAATTAAAAGTAAGAGCACTTGGTGATGGATTGATTAGGTAATGGGGTCAGGGGAGTGGGCGGTGACAGTGGTGACTGGATTTCCAGCTTGCACGTGTGGGTAGATGAAAGCATCATTTCCTGGAAGACAACTGGATTTGGGAGGGAATATCATGGCTTTGATCTTAGACACCATTAAGTTTGAAGTGCTTTTGAGCAATCTGAGATGTGGGGTGGGCGGTTGGATAGACACGTCAGAAGCTCAAAGAAGATGTGGGGACTAGAGATATATATTTGGGAGTCATTTCCCCCCGAGAAGACAGATCATTGAATTGGGGGAGATTACCAAGGGAGATAGCGAAGTAAGAGGAGAGAAGGCCCAAGTGCAGCTGGAAGAACGCCAGCTTTAATGAGGGGGGGGAGAAGGGCAAGCATGAAAGGGAGGCAGCCCTGGAGGAGGAAAACCAGGCATATGTGCTGCCAGGAAAGTCAAAGGAAGAGAGGGCTGTGGAAGAGATGCGGTGAACTCCGTCAAGCCTGCCGAGGGGCCTAGTGAGAGAGGTGGATCCAACATGAGTTGGATTTTGCAATATGGCAGACTTAGGTGGCCTTAGCGTGGGCGTCCTGGTGGGATAACAGGGCAAAGAAGATGCAGCAGAGTGGACGGAAAAGTGAGTGGGAGGCAGCACCATGGAAGCTGGGGAGAGACAGTACCTAGGGAGATGTGGGGTTGGAGGAGGGCTTGCAGAGAGGGGAGCAGTCTGAGCATGTTAACTAGGATAGGAGTTGGGATGAAAGGGGACAAGAGGAAGAGGCTGTGTGTGTGAGAGAGAAGGGAAAGGTGACGGTTTATGTTTCCTGAAGAGGCAAGAGGGAGTCGGATCCAAAACACAGTTGGGGCTGGGCACAGTGGCTCATGCTTGTAATCCCAGCACTTTGGGAAGCTGAGGCGGGTGGATCACTTGAGGTCAGGAGTTGGAGATCAGCCTGGCCAACATGGTGAAACCCTGTCTCTACTAAAACTACAAAAATTAGCTGGGCGTACTCAGGAGTTCGAGACCAGCCTGGCCAACTTGGTGAAACCCTGTCTCTACTAAAAATACAAAAAATTAGCAGGCGCCTGTAATCCCAGCTACTCAGGAGGCTGAGGCAGGAGAATCGCATGAACCCGGGAGGCGGAGCTTGCAGTGAGCCGAGATCGTGCCACTGCACTCCAGGCTGGGCGACAGAGCGAGACTCCATCTCAAAAAAAGTAAAATTAGCTGGGCATGGTGGCGGGCCCCTGTAATCCCAGCTACTCGAGAGGCTGAGGTGGGAGAATCACTTGAACCTGGGAGGCGGAGGTTGCAGTGAGTTGAGATCGTGCCATTGCACTCCAGCCTGGACAATAGAATAAGATTTCATCTCAAAAAGAAAAAAAAAAAAAGAAAAAAACCAAACAGTTGGGGGAATGGGCCTAGATCGGGGAAGAAAGGTGAACTGCCAGACAAGATGTACAACCTCCTGCACATCTTACACAGCAGAGGTGTGCAACCTGCTGCTGGCCATGCCTTCACCAGGAGGCTCAGGCTTAGCCAGCAGCAGGTAGCAGAGGTTCTTCTCTGTCAGCTTCCTTTTCTTTTGAGAATAGGAGGTAAGGATACACCTGTGGAGTGTGAACCTGGAGAAGGAAGATGATGGGAGGGGGGTGGAGGTTTGAAGAGGGCGGGGAAGGCTTGAAATAGGGAGGTGGGTGAAAGTGACACATCTCAAGGACTGATTTATTCATTCATGGACTTAATAGATATCACCGTGTACTATGTGCCAGGCATGTCTCTAGGCCCTGGGGTTAATCTGTGAACCAACCAACCAACCAAAAAGTCTGTCCTTATGGAGCTTACATTCTAGATGAGAGAAGCATAGTAGATGAATTAGTATATGAAGTATGCATGTGCTATAATATAACCAACAAAATCAGTATGTAAAGTATGTAGATGCTATAAGTTGATGTAATGAAATCAATATGTAAAGTCCGTGTCTGCTGTTAGATGACGTAATAAAATCAATATTTAAAGTACACATACACTCTAAAAGGTAATGTGCAGTGAAGAAAAGGGAAGCAGAGGAGGGTGTGGGTTTGGTATTTTAAGTGGCATGGTCAGGGCAGGCCTCGCTGGGAAGTGACAAATGGGCTAAGACCTGGAGGTGATGAGGGATGAAGGGCAGCCGTCTGGGGAGACTGGTGGTCATGGTTTTCTGAAAGTATCCATCTGCCCTGTGTGGCTTTGTCCAGAAGGGCTGTCTGTCTGGACGGGAGTAGAGGATGAGAAGAAGGTAGCGATAAAGGGCCACAGACTCCAGAGCCCGGGGCCTTGGCCTGGATGCTGTCGGATGGCAGCAGGGGGAGGAGTGGAGAGAAAGCAGAAGCATGGCCAGGAAGCTGGGAGGCATGAGCCTGGGAAGAGGGGGACCAGCCTGAGCCCTGGGTGGGGAAAGGGATCCCCTGGGAGCTCACGGGGGTGCATTTTGCTATCTCAGCCGTTTTATTTGCCTGCAACAGGGGAATATTGAGGCAGGCCAGGCAGCCTGCCCCTTCTCCAGCATCCTCACTTTGCTGTGCCCTTTTGGTTTTTACATTGCCTGCTCTGTCTTCTACCTCATGGTCAAACTGTGGCTCTCTCTCCTGAATTCCATGTAAATGGAGAGTAAAGACGATCTAGGGATGGGACTCTCCTGGTGACAACTGTTTTGGCTGCTCAGAGAGGTGTCTTTCTTTCTATGTTGTTCTTGACTGTGTTCTAGATGGTCTCCGTTCTGGAAAGGAGAGGTTGTCACAATGAGAATCTCTTAAAATGGTGGGTATGAGCAAAACCATGTCACGCCAATGCTGGAACAGTCTGTCTTAACTGGGAGGTCCCTTTGCGATGAGCTAGCTTTACTTCCTAAGGGACTGAGGTCTGCAGAGGCCAAGGGTCTCCCTGGGTCACCCTGTTTGTGATGTTCCCCTGACATGGAATCCTAAATACACCTTTACCTGCTTTTTTTTTTTTTTTGAGATGGAATTTCGCTCTTGTTGCCCAGGCTGGAGTGCAATGGCACAATCTCGGCCCACTGCAAGTCCACCTCCTGGGTTCAAGCGATTCTCCTGCCTCAGCCTCCTGAGTAGCTAGAATTACAGGCACGCACCACCATGTCCGGCTAATTATTGTATTTTTAGTAGAGACAGGGTTTCACCATGTTGGCCAGGCTGATCTAGAACTCCTGACCTCAGGTGATCCACCCATCTCGGCCTCCTAAAGTTCTAGGATTACAGACATGAGCCACTGCGCCCGGCCGTTACCGTCTTTTATATCGATCTCCCCATAATGAACTCATCCAGTGCACAAACCCTCCTGTAGAGCCATGTGTCCAGCATCTAGTAGGTCTCCCATAGCTGCCTGGACCTGCTGTCAGGAGTGATCATCGTAACATCAACTACTGTTCCCCTGGGTCAGCCACTGTTGACAGCTGGGCACCATTACTGTCCTCATTCCTAGATAAGGAAACTGAGGCATAGAGGTGATCAAACACACCCAAGGTCAAGTGCACAGTGCTAGCCTGAGACACACAGGATTTGAACTCCTGCATCGGCTCTTGACTCCCCTTTGTCACCTCCAAGTTGTACTGAAGTTGAGGCTTAGGCTCCCAGAGGGTGTGGGCCCTGGGCTGAGTGTTTTATGGGCCTTATCTCATCTGATAAGAGGGTGCTTGTAATTACTCTTCTTTCACTGAATAGCAAAGTGGACAAGGAGAGATCAGGTGACTGGCGCAGGCCGCATAGGTGGATGGAAGGCTGGAACAGGCCCCCTCTTAGCACCTCGCTCCCCGGCCTCCCAGCCTCAGTGGGGTTTGCTGACGAAACAAGCGAGCACATGGAGGAAATGCGGTCCAGCTTCTGCCTAATGAATCCCGCTGTTTCAGCCTGTTTGCATTTGTCAAGTTAATTTGCCTTCCAGACAGAACCACAGACCAGTGTCCCTGCCTCCTCGAGGGTGGGAGGGACCCCAGGACCCCCTGGAGAGGCACACTTGAGGAGGCAGACACACCGGTCTGTGGTCTGTACCCCACAGCTATCTCCAGCTCCAGGTCCAGGGAGGGCCAGAAGGTGGAGCGGCGGGGGCCAGTGGCGAGGACAGTGC
This sequence comes from Homo sapiens, assembly GCF_000001405.40. Classification (NCBI taxonomy): domain Eukaryota; kingdom Metazoa; phylum Chordata; class Mammalia; order Primates; family Hominidae; genus Homo; species Homo sapiens. The sequence goes on from NC_000017.11 coordinate 9,145,039, forward strand.
GCCACCCCCCGAGGCTGGCCGGCTCCCCAGCTGAGGCAGGCGCATGAAATCCGAACTCTGGAGGGAAATTTACTGCACAATAAAGGAAGAATGGCCTGCTTTGGGGACAATTAAATCCACATTACTGTGGAATTACAGAGGACTCCTGGGGAATTAGCCACATCCACAGCAGCCAGGAGCACCAGGGCCAAGAAATGTGGGGCGTTCACATGTGGGTTCCCTCCAACCCTGACTTGTACTAGGAACCTGTCTTGTTCCCAAGCCCCCTAATTTTAGGGTAAGAAAAAACATTTTCAAAGACTACCTGAGGGGAACTAATGTCATAAAACAACGCCACCGGGCCCAGTGTGTATCTTAAATAGATCTATTCTGGTCACAAAACCAACTGAGTCACAGGGTGGAGGTCTGGGGAGGACTAACCCCCTACCACCCCATTTGCAGCTGGGGGAGAAGAAAGGGCCAGGCTTCTGAGCAGAGTGGGCCAGGCGTCCAGTCCCTGTCACTCCTGTGAGCTGTGTGAGTCCAGCCAGGGTCTCGACATTATTTTCTGGCTTCCTTTAATTGGATCAAAGTAAAGTTGTAAAGTATGGGGTGTTGGCCAGGCACGGTGGCTCACACCTGTAATCCCAGCACTTTGGGAGGCCGAGGTGGGTGGATCACCTGAGGCCAGGAGTTTGAGACCAGCGTGGCCAACATGGCAAAACCCTGTCTCTACTGAAAATACAAAAAATTAGCCGGGCGTGGTGGCAGGCACCTGTAGTCCCAGCTACTTGGGAGGCTGAGCCAGAAGAATCACTTGAACCCAGGAGGCAGGGGTTGCAGTGAGCTGAGATCGGCCACTGCACTCCAGCCTGGGCGACAGAGCAAGACTCCATCTCAAAAAAAAAAAAAAAAAAAAAAAGTGTGGGGTATTTAGAAGAACAGATGTGTTTGTATTCATTTTCCATCCAAGCCTCTGCGGGCTGGAAGAAGATAAGGAGACTGTTTCTGAAGTCACAAGTTGGGCAGCTTGAGCTGTCTAGGGTTTGGGAGACCCCTGCGAGGCCCTTGTGCCCTTTCAAGCACATTCCTCAGTTCTCTTCCTGCCGTACCTTCAGCAGTGGTGCAGGCATGTATGGACAGAGACAGGAGGCAAACAGCTGAGTAAGGTGCAGGGAGGGGACACTAGGATCCAGGGCTCATGAGGAGGCTTGAAGCATAATGACCCAGGGGTGCCTGGTGCACAGAGACTGCTCCACGTGAGTCATGTGTCACTGTTACGGTGGCTGAGTGGAAGTGGCAGGTGTGAACTGCCCCAGCTTTGAAGGCTGCCCTCAGCTCCCACCTCCTGCCCTGAGCTCATCTCATTGTTCTCTGCATTTTCTTTCTTAGAGCTCCCAGAGGCCCCTCACTCCTTCTGGGCACAGACTTCCTGCCCATTTTGGGGGTGAGTCCTCAAGGAGGGGACCACCTTGCTTATGCATACCTTGGTCCTCAGTCCTGAAACAAGCAGCCAATGCACTCCTACCTCCCATCGCCTTCTGCTGGTTAGCAGGGCTGGAGGGGACCTGTGGGTCTTTAGACACACCCTGGGGGTCTTTAGACACACCCTGGGGCTCCTGGCAGCCATGCCCTCTGGGTGCTGAGACAGAGTGAGGCGGGACAATGTCTCTGATTGCTAGTGAGCTAGGGATTTGGCCCGTGCTATTGGCTCTCAAAACAATTTGGAGGAGGAAAGTGAGGGGCTAACTCGCCGCAGGACTCTCCTTTCCTGGTCAGTCCCTTGTTGGATTCTTGCCTGGGAGTTTCAGAGCCAGCGAGGCACTGGGGTTGCTTACTGTCCCCATATGTGGAGGAGATGTCCAAAATACTCAGTAGCTGGTGCTTCTGGGTAATACCCCGGCATCGGTGTTGAGATGCTGGCCATAGACAGCTGCCTTGCTACCTCTCTGTGGAAGATCAGTCTGCCCTAAAGCTTTTGAACCCCCAAAGGCCTGTTCAGAGGATGTTCAGCTATGGAGCCACCATCTCTCCATGAGGAAGAGCTTGTGGCTTTCCCCAGGCTGTTTTCCCTGGCTGTACTAGATAACTCAGGACATCATTGCAGAAGGACAATTTGGATTCTTCCCGCATTTGCCCACAGGGAAGCTCTGCTGCGCAGTCCCTCCCCGTAAGGACTCAGGGTCATTTGCAGACTGGAAATCCCTTCCATTAGCTCACGTGTAAGAATATTAACAAGGCCATTTGGGAGGCCGAGGTGGGCAGATCACGAGGTCAGGAGATCGAGACCATCCTGGCTAACACGGTGAAACCCCGTCTCTACTAAAAATACAAAATAAATGAATAAATTAGCCGGGCATAGTGGCGGGCACCTGTAGTCCCAGCTACTAGGGAGGCTGAGGTAGGAGAATGGCATGAACCTGTGGGCAGAGCTTGCAGTGAGCTGAGATCGAGCCACTGCACTCCAGCCTGGGCGACAGAGAGAGACTCCGTCTCAAAAAAGAATATTAGCAAGGCCAATGCTAACCTCAAACCTGTAAGGATCTGACATCCCAGAGGCAGGAAATGTGTCTTCTAAGGCTCTCTGAGTTGGAAGGGTCTCGATCAGTCTAGTTCCACCTCCTCCCCAGAGCCGGAGTCTCCTGTACCGTATTTTTCTACTTGAAGGTCTCCAGGGATGGCAAAGTCACTGTCCCCCAGGGGTGGCCCATTCTAGCTCCTTTGGCCAGCTGGAATCTGCCATCCCCTGTCTTATCCTCTGTTTGATGGTAGGCCACCTAAAATCTTTCATTAAATCTCATAGACACTTTACTGAGCTCTAAATGAATTGTACCTAGTGGTTTGATTAAAATAACTGGATTCAGAATTGGGGTTCAGATTTTGATCATTTTCACCACAAAGCATATCATGATGAAAATGGCTTTGTTTGGGTACAGATTTGGGGCCACTCTGGCCATACTTGCCTTCCTCCCCCTTGTGTCTCCTGGAACTGGAGTGTGATTGGTTCCACATGGGGATCTTTGCATGTGAAGTGGGGGCATGCTAACTAGTGACAGGGCCTCTTGAGGGGCTGGGTAGGGGCAGAGGGGCGTGGTCTGTCTGTTTGGCATTGACGGCCCTGCAGACAGTGCCCTGCAACTGGAAAGCAGTTTTTGGGTCATCCAATGGGCAGGGTCTTTTCCCTTCTCACAAATCTCCACGTGCTCCTGGGCACAGGTATCTATTCTTGTTCAGCAGATTGAGAGAGGGAAATAAGGGAACGACAAGCTGGTGCTAAGCAAATAGGAACTGAAGAAGCAGACAACCCTTTGAGTTAAGAAAAACCCAAACAGGACTCTTCTCTCCTAGACCTGTTGAGTTGAGGGGCCCTTTTAACCTCTTCTGGGACTTGTGGAGACTGAGGAAATTAAAGTGGCTGTTGATAAAAAAAACCGTTGCGTGAAATCGTACATCTTAGGCACAGCCCAAGCTGGGTAGGGATCTGGTGTGTCCTGGAGGTAGCACTGACATGCCAGTCTTGGGGCATACTTTTACTAAAAATGATTTGTGCCATTCAAATTTAACTGGGTGTTCTGTATTTTTATTTGCTAAACCTGGCAACCCGAGTCTAGTCGGAGAGTGAATTAGGAAACTGAGAAGGCGTTTTGGTGTTGTCCTGGAGTGGCCCAATGGGACACTGGTTTCTGTTGGGCACACGGGGGTCCAGCGTGCAGATTGGGACCCTGGTTTCACCCTGTCCCTGTCCACGAGCAGGAATCTTGATCTGTTGGTCACACGGGGGTCTGGTGTGCAGTATTGAACCCTGCAGTAGTTTTGGCTGCAGTCTGGGCTGGTCTCTGGAGTTTACAACCCAAGTCAAAGTTAACTAAAGAGATGAATTAAATAAAGGTCAAGCAGGGAGGGATACAGCCCATGGGGGTAGAGGGGAACAAAGGGCTGGGGAAGGTGTCCTGGGAATTGCATGTTTTCCTGCCTGGTGTCTGGAGAACAGAATCAACTGCAAGTCATTAAGCCTCCCTTGCACCAGCCTCTCCCACTGCCCTGGAGTCCCGCCTTGAATCTCCAGCCTGGCAAGTGCCTGGCTTAGTGACGGGAGCCATTACAGATGGGAAATGACTCCAGGGAGCCAGGAGCCAGGCTTGGCCGGCTTGGCTGGCAAATCAGCCCTCATATGTCCATTTCATAAAGCACAGGGAGTGTATGCACCACCTCTAGGGAAAAGAGATTGGAAGGAACCCCCCCCACACCCCCACACACACCCTGCTGCCACCCCCCGAGCTGCTAACCAGACATCTGGGCAGGGCGGGCAAGTCACAGAGCAAAGAGAATTTCATGGCAACAAAAGCTTCCGGGAGAACTTTGCTCAGACAATCTCTTCCAGTTTGAAAATTCTCTGCCTTCAGGAATGAATTCCAGCAGCCACAGGGTTTTATCAGGCTTCTTTCTGCCTGAGACCATGTCACCCTCACCATGCTGCTGGGGGTCTGGAAAGAGCTCTGAATTAGTTTGGTGAAGTGTTAGTCACCATTCACTATTGCCAGGTCCCTGGCAACATCTCTTTGCTTCTTGGGACCTTGTTCTTCTCATCTCTTCTTCTACAAGAGGGTAAACTAGGAAACCCTGGAAGGCTGCACCAGCCCCAAGACCCTGGGTTTGTCCTTAGAACAATGTCCCCCTTCCTTCTTTTGCTGATAGATCTGGAGCTTGGAGAGGACTGGGTGGGATGGGGTGAGGTTTCATGCAGGGTCTTATTATAAGGAAGGAGCAGGGCAAGGCACTGTGGTGAGCACCTGTAATCCCAGCACTTTGGGAGGCTGAGGAGGGTGGATCACTTGAGGTAGGAGTTCGAGACCAGCCTGACCAACATGGTGAAACCCCATCTCTACTAAAAATGCAAAAATTAGCCAGGCATGGTGGCGCACACCTGCAATCCCAGCACTTTGGGAGGTCGAGGAGGGTGCATCATTTGAGGTCAGGAGTTTGAGACCACCCTGGCCAACATGGCGAAACTCCATCTCTACTAAAAATACAAAAATTAGCTCAGCATGGTGGCGGGCGCCTGTAATCCTCAGCTACTTGGGAGGCTGAGGCAGGAGAACCACTTGAACCCAGGAGGCAGAGGTTGCAGTGAGCCAAGATCACGCCACTGCCCTCCAGCCTGGGTGACAAGAGTGAAACCCCATCTCAAAAAATACATAATAAATAAATAAGGAAGGAAGGAGCAAGACCTCCAGTCTCTGGACCCCCACTGTGAAACTGTTTTTGTCCTGAAAGGCAAGAAAGTTTGCATCTCATAGACAGTGGGCAGCCATGGAAGGTTCCAGAACAGGGCAGTGACAAATGAGAGGAATGTCTGAAGAGGGATTTGGGGTGGCGGGCTGGTTGGAGGTGGAGAAGGCGTAGAGTTGTGCATGGCACATAGAGGGCCAGGGCTAAAGTCCCCGAAGGAGGTGGCAGAGAGAGCACTCACCCTCTGCCTGGGGCAGAGGCTCCGGACTGGAACGTGGACGGAGGATCTGAGGAACGCAGCAGACAAAGAACTGATGACTGCTCAGGGCTTACCAAAGCCTGCTCGGCATTTCCTCCAAGAGAGGGGCCCGCCCGCCGGGCAGGCGGAGAGAAGGATGTTTGTGCAGCAGGAACCCTGAGTGATTCTTTTGCAGCAAGGGCCTGGGACATGTTCGTTAGGAGGGGATTGTTTCAAAGCCTTAGGGGGAGGCATAGCAGCCAAAAAAGGGCAGGGAAGAGAAAAGGCTAAGATGTTTACAGAGAAAAAAAAAAAGTCAGTGGAAAAAATGACGGCGAGGTCAAGCAGATTTGGGGGATGGCCCCCGCTGTCCACTGGGGAGGGGCCGGGTGCCCGGCACAGCGGGAGAAAGAACCACAGGGCCTGGGCTGTGCTTTTTGGAGAGCCGAGCCCGTGACCCCGGTATCCTTAATCCTGCCCGTGGTCCTGATCCCAAACCCCACGAAATGCCCTCTCCGGTCTGTTTGCCGCCAGCCTCTTTGCAGGGACCACGTCCATCAGTTGGTCCCCCCTGGACATTTCTGCTTGAAGAAGGAGACAGGACTCACCAGACTTAAGACTTATCTGCCCCCCACCCCTGTCCCTTCCCCCAGAAGCCTAAGAGGGTCTGGCTGCGGGGTGGGAGGCCAACTCCTAGCAGCCCTTTTGTCTGACATCTTGACAAAGGGGCTGGGGCCTTTCCCAAGCCCCACAGGTGTGAAGAACTTGTTACTGTAGTGTTTATTCAGCCCTATTAGTGGCCTGAAGGACTGTTGACAGAAGGCCCCTTTGTGTTCAGACTTGGCTAAAGCTCCCTAAGCCCTCGACAAACACAGGCCACTTATCTCCGGGGACTTTATCAGAAACCATCTAAAGCCTGTCTTTGGCAAGCCGGGAACTCCAGCCTCCCGTCCCACTCTGACTGTGACTCCGGGCACTGAGGTTCCAAAACACTTCCCACTTTCTTTCATTTTTCCTACCACCTTGATCCACCCCTCTTCCACGGCATTTCTGGTATCAGAGATAAAGCACAGGTGGTGGTGGGGAGGGGGAAGGGAGGGTGGACAGAAATTCTGTTTTCAAATTGGACCCTAAAAACTAAATGGAGTGGCCCTGCAGGCCTGGTTCTGAAAGAGAGACTTAAGAGAGGTGTATGGGCTCCTCTCTGGGAGAACTTGGCTTCAGGGGCCTCTAAGGCTGACCACGGAGGGTCCCTGTGGAGAGGTGAAGCCAGCTGGACTTCCTGGGTCTGCTGGGGAATTGGGAAAATTGTCTGTCTTACAAGAGGATTGTAAAACACACCAATCAGCACTCTGTAGCTAGCAAGAGGATTGTAAAATGCACCAATCAGCGCTCTGTAAAACACACCAATCAGCACTCTGTAAAATGCACCAATCAGCACTCTGTAAAACGCATCAATCAGCCCGAGTCTAAAAGTAGCCAATCGCGGGGAGGATTGAAAAAAGGGCACTCTGATAGGACAGAAATGGAACATGGGCAGGGACAAATAAGGGAATAAAAGCTGGCCCCCCGCGGGCCATGAGTGGCAATCCACTCGGGTCACCTTCCACGCTGTGGAAGTTTTGTTCTTTTGCGCTTCACAATAAATCTTGCTGCCGCTCACTCTTTGGGTCCGTGCCACCTTTAAGAGCTGTAACACTCACCGCCAAGGTCCACGGCTTCATTCTTGAAGTGAGCGAGACCGGGAACCCACTGGCAGGAACCAACTCTGGACACACTATTGCTCACTGCCCTCTGCTAAATCCCCCTGCTGTGCCACCGCATGCCCAAAGGTAAACTCCTTTTTTCTCCCCCAAAATAGTTTCCTCTGCCCAGTTCCCCGGAGAGGATCCTGCACACCCATTCTCTCTGAAAGACCCAGGTGGTCATCAGTCCTGTTGGCCACGCCCCTCTGATGGTTCCCCTGGGAAGGCTCCCATACCTCCACTTTCAGCAAGGGGGAAGCCTGCAGGGTCATCCCGCCACCACCCCAGGGCCATGGCAATTCCCAGCTGTGATCCACCCGCTGCCTGGAGGTGGTCTTAGAGCCCTTTCCACAGCCCTGTCACTGGCTTCCACCCTGAGGCTTCTTCACAGCGTCATTACCTAGCCTGGAGCACCCCACTTCTGAATTCCAGGGTCCCCTCCCAAAGGCCTCCATGCTGATGTGAGTCTGCTGATCTGTCCCCTACCCTGCAGGAGTTTGGGTATCATGAGTTAGACTTTTAGGGCCAGAAAATAACTTAGAAATCATCAGACGCAGATGTCTTCATTTTTCAGATGGGAGAATGGGTTCAGAGGGGCCAAGTGGGCTTTCCAGGTCACACACCTGGGGGAGTCGCGGAGCCGGAGCTAGAGTCCAGGCTTCCCACATCAGGCCCCAGCTCTCTTTCCTCTTGCTTGCTTGTGAGGTTGTAGCCATTGTGTTTGATCTTGGTTAGTAATAGTGACACTCCAGGGGGCGGCCAGGTGCGGTGCTTCATGCCTGTAATCCAAGCACTTTGGGAGGCCTAGGAGGGTGGATCATCTGAGATCAGGAGTTCGAGACCAGCCTGGCCCACATGGTGAAACCCTGTCTTTACTAAAAATACAAAAATGAGCCAGGTGTGGTGGCACGCACCTGTAATCCCAGCTACTCGGGAGGCTGAGGCAGGAGAATTGCTTGAACCCGGGAGGCAGAGGTTGCAGTTAGGTGGGCAGATCACCTAAGGTCAGGAGTTTGAGATCATTCTGGGCAACATGGTGAAACCCCGTCTCTATTAAAAATACAAAAACATTAGCAGGGCGTGGTGGCGGGTGCCTGTAATCCCAGCTACTTGGGAGCCTGAGGCAGGAGAATCGCTTGAACCTGGGAGGCAGAGCTTGCGGTGAGCTGAGATCCTGCCACTGCACTCCAGCCTGGGCAACAGAACAAGACTCTGTCTCAAAATAAAAAGAAACTCTGGGGGTTGACTCAGCTCTGTGTGTCTTAGGAGGGAATGCTGGTGAATCTGTGCACCCAAGCTGGAGCATCATCACAGGTTGGGGCTTTGAGAGGGGTTTGTTTGGTAGCTGCTTGAATTAAAAACCACAGCTCAAGAGAAGGAAGAGGGGGCCACGGTCTGTTGAGAGAGCAGAATGCAGCAACGTCAGCCCTATGGCAGGCGTGCTTCCCACTCAGAGCTGGGCACTTCCAAGGTCTCCGTTCATGTTTGTTGAATGAAGCAACGAACGGGCAGTCAGGTAGAAGCGGGTCCTGTTTTGGTGTCCTTGTGGCATCTCGAAGTGCCACATCTTCCCTCACATGGTCTCTGGAACTCCAGAGAGTCCCATGGGACATCCTTACCTCGCCTGGCTCTCATGCCCTGCGTGGACTGACTCTACCTGTTGACTCTTTTCTTTCAGACAAGTGAGTTGTCCAGTTCTCCTGGCCATATCTAGGAGACTGTTTGTCAATGGTTTTTAAAATGGTTGAAACGAGGCATCCTCAATGAGTGCAAACCCCAGAGCCTTGAGTGGAACCAACTACTCCTGTGTGATGTCCTCACGGTCCCCGTAGGGGTCATCCAGTCTCGTGACTCCCTCTGGCTGGTCACTGCTGCATTTTATCTGGCTGGCTGATGTCTCCAGTGACGAGCCTTAAGCCTATGTTTGGGGGATAGTGGTGGACCTGGGAGTGAGACCACAGCGGCAGCAGCATTAACCAGACCTTAGCATGCCCAGGTATTTCCACCGACCCTGCCAGGGCAGGGACCATGATTGTCCTGCTCACTGTGACGTCCCCAGCACCTTGCATGGTGCCCAGAATGCACCAGGTAGGGGCTCAGTAAATACTTGTTGAATGCTTTGATAAATTCATGCCCTACCAGATTTGCTAATAGTGAAGTAAAACCTAAGTCTGGGCTTGGATTGTTTTATAAATGTATGTATATGTATGATCGTTTCTCTTATGCCCAGCTCACCTGTAGACACAAAAGGCTGTGAGTCCCAGAAATTCTTGGGCCAGTCCTGCCTCGGCCCCTTTCCCAAAAGGAGCCCTTTGAGAGGTTGGCTCAGAATGATCCCCAGGTGTGGGCGGGAGTTAGGTGTGTGGGCAGCTGGAGTTGCTCCACCCAGCCATTTCAGGAGACGCTGAAAAGGGGGCTCAGAAAAACACACTGGAGGCGGAATACCTAAAATTTATAAACAGGAGCTGAACAATTTCTAAATAAATAGCATACCAAATGGAGCAGCAAAGTAATAAAGGAAATACAGACTACCTCAAACTCTTAAAAATAACTCTCAAGTATTTTTATGATTCTGAACCAGTCATTTAAGGAGAAATTTCTCTTGAAACCAGGCATCTGCCCACTGCCCCATCACAGGCCCCTGCGGTTGAACCTCCCTTTACCTCCTTGCAAAGGCTCTCTGTCCACACAGTGGGTCATGTCCCAACTGGGTTCTTTTCCATTGAGTTCCAGTTCCATCCCTCCCCATCAGAGCCTGCATTTGCACAGGATCCCCAGGTGACCATATGCACGTTACAGTTGGGGCAGCGCTGGCAGAATATCCCGTCTGTGCTCCGACTCTCTTCTCAGGCCCTGTCCTCTCCCCGTTGTTCCAGAGAGGTCCAGAAGAACGGCCTCCTTGAGTGTTAGTCTTGACAGCTCTGGTCACCGTTGAAAACAGTGCAATTACTAGACCACTGTCCATCTTCCCCTGAGCCAGGAAGGACCCTGGGACAGGACTCCATCTTGCCTGCCGCTGTCACACCAGCACCTGGCCCTTTTAAAGGCGTCAGTTAAAGCTTTGTTGAAGGAGTTAATGACAGTCACCTCCTGGAGCAGCTTTCTTTTTCTTTTTTGTTTTTTTTTTTTTGAGACGAGTTTTGCTCTTGTCGCCCAGGCTGGAGTGCAATGGCGTGATCTCAGCTCACCGCAACCTTTGCCTCCCGGGTTCAAGCGATTCTCCTGCCTCATCCTCCCGAGTAGCTGGGATTACAGGCATGTGCCACCATGCCCACTAATTTTGTATTTTTTAGTAGAGACGGGGTTTCTCCATGTTGGTCAGGCTGGTTTCAAACTCCTGACTTCAGGTGATCCGCCCGTCTCGGCCTCCCAAAGTGCTGGGATTACAGGCGTGAGCCACTGCGCCTGGCGCTCCTGGAGCAGCTTTCTAAGCCTCAGAGTTTGCACTTAGAGAACAGCATTTTAGGCAAAGGGGATTAAACATTTACATACCCTGGAGGCGGTGGGCGTCATGATCTCCCTAACCCAGGAATTCTCAAACTCAGCACTATGGACATTTGGCAGGCTCTGTTTGGGGGAACTGTCCTGTGCATTGTAGGAAGTTTAGCGACCTCTCTGGTTTCTATCCCTGGATGCAAACAGCCCCTCCCTCCCCAGTCATGATAACCAAAAATGTCTGTAGACACTGCCAGATGTCCACTGGGGGACAAAATTGCCACCGGTTGAGAACACTGCCCCCTCTCCCTCAGGGAATTTGTGAGTTGTACATGCTGAGTAGGTCTCCTGGTCCTTACCCAGGAGCCATGGACTTACCTAGCAGAGGAGCTGGTGAGGGAAGAAGCGCCCCCCACCGACCTGCAAATTTTTGCCATGTCCCAACCTGCCCATGTGGCCTGGACATGTGGAAATGTGTCAACAATCATGACAGATCTGAGAGCAGTACCTGTCCCAGTGCGCAGGCAGCCAATGGCTGGGGCCTGCAGCCTGCGATGGTGCCTGCGTGAGTTGGTTTTTTTTTTTTTTTGGAGAATTCAGCCGTTATGCTACAGAGATAACATGGTCAGTCTTCTCAAAAGAACTGCTCTGGAAGGAGAAGACATGGTGATCCTGTGTGCTGGAGGGCTGCTGTGGGGTACTGGGCCCCAGACTAGAGCCTCTGAGGAGACCCATCACCAAATGGCCTTCCTGCTCCAGTGAGAAGCCCCTGGGCCATGTGAAGTCTGGGGGAGCCAGGACCAGAGTCCCTGAGAGACATGGTCTGGAAACTGCTCACCAATGTCTGCTGGATGCTTTCTGGACCTGGGGTAGTCCTGATGGGATTGAGAGTAAGTTCGCCAGGGTCTTTTGGGGTGGGCCAACACTTATGGTTTGGTAAATTCATCAAAAACAATGGATGCAGATTCAGTCTCTGTGTGCAAGGGCACTACTTAGAGTTCCAGGAAGAGTCCAGGGGACTTAGATGTGGGTTTTTCTCTCTAAAGCACAGCAGTCTACTTGAGCAGACAGAAGTTAAATTGATGAGTTAAAGCAGTTGAAAGCAACAATCAGATGTCGCAAGGCTATGCCTTGTCAGGGAGTGGTTCAGGCAGTAAATCCTCTATCTGCCCTACCTGTCTAACTATCTAACTGTCTCTATACATACCCGCTTGCCTGTCTACCTGCCCACCTACCTATCCATCCATCCATCCATCCATGCATGCGTCCATCCATCCATCCATGCATCCCTCCCTCCCTCCCTCCCTCCACCCACCTATCAACCCCATCCATCCGTCCATCCCTCTCTCCATCTATCCATCCGTCCATCCATCCACCTTTTCATCCTTCCATTCATTCATCCATCCATCTATCTTCTCTCTTGTTTGCTTTCTGTCTCTCATTTGCACAACAAAAATGTATGAAGGCTTTCTGTGGGCTGGAGGATATAAGAGCAAACGCTGTCCCTATCCTCAGCAAACCAACACAGTTAATGAGAGATTAGTCCCACTTGATCAGAGAATTTTCTGACATGAGTTTGTTCCCTCCATTAGATGGGGAACCCATGGATAGTTGAGAGTGCATTGTCCATCTGTGTATCTCACATAGCCTGTAGCACAGAGCTGGGAACATAGCTAGAACACTGTGAGTATGCACTGAACTGACCTGACCTGGGGAGTGGGAAGGGGTTGAGCAGTTCCAGGTTGGTGGGAGAGGGAGAGGGGCAGAAAGGCAGGAATGTTGAGAGGTAAGGAGTGGCCACAGGCATGTGTTGAAATAGGACTTAGAGGACTTTTTGATGGGGGAAGAAAATAGGAACCCACCTCTTGGGCCTCTTTTCCTACTGGGTTTCTGGTTGGAAAGTGGGGCCTCTCGCCCTCCTATCTTCCTTACCCTCGTTATGCCCTGGGTCTGAAATGCAGCCACATGTGATGCATCCTTGGTGATCCTCACATGATAGCCAAAGAGGGGCACAAAGCTTGGGGTGTCTGTGGGTGTCTGGGGTACCCCTGGATAAGAGGCAGAGCCTCAATGGCCTAGGCAGTGCTTCTGTCCTTGCCCCTGCTGGTCCCTCAAGAGTGTCTCTGCCACCCCCAACCCCCTTTTCTCTGGGCTGACCTCTCTGTTCTCACAAAGCTGCCCTTTCCTCCCTGTCTTGAAATCTGATAATGAAACTAATACCCAATATTTTTGCCTCCAAGAGATGCAGGAGATAAACAGGAAGGCGCAAAGGATTAAGGTGTCTCTCTGAGGAAGGGGCTAGGGACAGGCCGGGAGTTGGGTGACGCCTCTGTGTGGAGCCGAGGGATCCAGATGTGAGCTGCTTTGCCCAACGCATTTTTCCATCTGTGCAGAGAAAATAAAACAAAGAGAAAAGAAAACAAGCTGTAAAATACTTTGCAGAAGTCTGAGCATGGGCATTTGCCACTTGATGTCTCCTGACAGCTCCAAGAAGCAGGGGAGGGAAGGGAGCCCTGCCTTTTGATGTTTGCCTCAGAGTTTTCTTTTGTGTGACCAGTTGTTTAGGAAGAACCTTTTGTTGGCGTAAGGTGCATATGGAAGAGAGCTACCAGCCCCCAGCTTCCTCCTGGGGTGGGAAAAGTGGAGGCTGAGCTCCCAGAAGGGGCTCAGAGGTTAGGGCAGGCCCCTCTGGAAAATGCAGGAGAAGGACATTTGCCTCCAAGAAGGACAGGATGATGCTGTTATCAGGCCTTTCCTGGTACAAGGGAGGCCTGAGGAAGTGAGGCCTGGGTGATCCTTCCAGATCCCTGTCCCCAGGCAGGTGTTCCAGTTCCTGTGATTTCTGTGCTTGTAAGAAAGATGTAGATTCTGACTGTAGTCTAGGCCAGCTGTTACTTCCAGTGATAGGGGTCTTTTCCTCTGAGCCAGTGGACCAGGAGCCAGAAGGGTAGGGTTCCCATCCTGGGCCCCCCCATTTACTGGCTCTGTGGTCCTGGGCTGGTTGGTCATTTCACCTCTCTGAGCAGGCCCCTGTCACCCTTGTCTGGCAGAGTGAGTCCAAAGAGAGTGAGTGTGTGCAGGCGTGACAGTCGTCTGCAGGAGGGCAAGGTGCAGCTGCAGCCTCTTTCTTTGCACTTGGTTGAACTCAGCCCTGGGAACACTTGCCGGAGGACAGTTAGCAAGGTTCTGGGACTCATCCCCTGGTCTAATTTGGCTTCTGGCTGCTTTCAGACTTCAGGGCAGGAGCTGTCTTTTCTCCTGCATCCCACACTGCTTTTTCTAGGGCCCTGTCCACCTCTATTTGTAAATGAAATGACTAATGGGTGAGTGACTTGGCAGTGACTCTAGGAAGAGCACTTAAAGAAGCTTGTCATAACATCAGAGAGAAAAATTAAAGAGGCACATGTTTTTCTAAAGATCACAAATTAAAGTAACATGTGAATGAGAAACTTAAAAATATTTACAGCTTATATGGCAGAAAAGACAAACAATGTTTAATCCTCCTGATCACTAGACAGCATGAAAAAAGTCCACCTTATTTGAAAACTGGGCAAATGGCATGAACAGGCAATGCACAAAAAAGAAATATAAATAGAAAAACAATACATGGGGAAATGCCCAACCTTCCTAGTAATCAAAGACATGCAAATTAAAATCGTCTGTGTGTGTGTGTTTTCTCTCAGACAGAGTGGCCAATATTTTTTAAAAAGAATGCCGATACCAAATGCATATTATTATTTTCAAGCACGTGGTGAAATAGGAGCTCTCATATCCTGCTGGTAGGTGTATAAGCCAGTACAGCCTTTCTTGAGGGCAGTTTGGCAATTTGGTGCCAATGTTAAAAACATGTAGAAGGGCTGGGCGCAGTGGCTCATGTCTGTAATCACAGCACTTTGGGAGACCGAGGTGGGTGGATCACGAGGTCAGGAGTTTGAGACCAGTCTGGCCAACATAGTGAAACCCTGTCTCTACTAAAAATACAAAAAATTAGCCGGGTGTGGTGGCAGGCGCCTGTAATAGCAGCTACTCGGGAGGCTGAGGCAGGAGAATCGCGTGAACCTGGGAGGCGGAGGTTGCAGTGAGCCAAGATCACGCCACTGCACTCCAGCCTGGGCTACAGAACGAGACTCCATCTCAAATAAATAAATAAATAAATATAAATAAAAATATAAAAACATGTAGGTTCAAAATTCAACCCAGTAATTCCATCTAGAGAAATTTGCACTACAACAGTCATTGGAGCAGAGCACAAATATATATGTTCAAAGGTGGTTCAAGGTGGTTACCTTTATGTTCAAAGGTAGTTGACATTTATAATAGTGAAAAATGGGAAACGACCTATAGGTGCCCAACCCTGGGAGGTCCTTCTTTTAAATGCCTCCACTTCCAACTCCAAGAGGCCCACTATGCATAGCCATGCAACACAGTGCCAGAGGAATTTTATTTTTTAGTTTTTAATTTTTGTGAGATAGGGTCTCGCTCTGTGGCTCAGGCTGGAGTACAGTGGTGGCTCATGGCAACCTCCACCTCCCAGGTTCAAGAGATTCTCCTGCCTCAGCCTTCCGAGTTGTTGGGATTACAGGCGCAAACCACCATGCCTGACTAATTTTTGTATTTTTTAGTAGAGACGGGGTTTCACCATATTGGCCAGGCTGGTCTCAAACTCCTGGCTCCAAGAGATCTGCCCACCTTGGCCTCTCAAAGTGCTGGGATTATAGCTGTGAGCCACCATGCCCAGCCCGGACATCTTTTAAACATTGTGAAGATCAGTATTTGACACAAGAAAATGTTCATTATTATGAAAAAAAACCCCCACAAAACTAGATGTATAAAAGTATGATCCGTGTTTGTAGGAAAGAATTAAATAGCTCCACAACTGAACAAATGTTAATGAAAGCCTGAAAGGAAAGATCTCTGTAGCAACTGTGGTTGGTAGAAATAGGAGTGTGTTCCTTTCTCTTCCTGCTTTTGTTTTTTGAGTGCATGAATTAAATATATATTTCTTAGGTTGGGTGTGGTGGCTCACGCCTGTAATCCCAGCACTTTGGGAGACCAAAACAGGCAGATATCTTGAGCCCAGGAGTTCGAGACCAGCCTGGGCAACATGGTGAAACCCTGTTTCTACAAAAAAAAATACAAAAAATTCGCTGGGCATGGTGGCACATGTCTGTGGTCCCAGCTACTTGGGAGGCTGAGGTGGGAGGATCTGACAAGCCCAGGAGACAGAGGTCTCAGTGAGCCAAGATCTGTGCCATTGCACTCCAGCCTGGGCAACAGAGTGAGACCCTGCCTCGAACAAAACAAAACAAAACAAACCCAGCATGTATTTCTTTAGAAATTCCATAAAACGTGATTTAGAACACACTGAGCGTGAAACCATGTTGTGGAGTGAACGAGAAGAGGCCAGACCTGTGCTGGAGTAACCCTGGGGTTGGAAGCCTAAAGAAGAAGGCAGGTGACAGGCAATCCTGATGTGGCACAAGGAAAGCTGTGTGAGGCCATGCTGGGTGCCCACGCCAGGCTGGTGGGGTGGAGCGGGGCTGGGAAGTAACATTGGAACCAAGACCTGGGGGATGAGAAGGAGGCAGCCAGATAAAACGGGAGTGTCCTGGGAGGAAGGGAACAGCATGTCCAGAGCCCCAGAGGGGCAGGCGAGGGGTCCTTGCACGTGGCTCTAGAAACAGACCAAAGTTTGGAATCACTGGAGCATAAAGAGCGAGAGGCTGAAGGACGAGACAGGACCAGCTTATTTGGAGCCCTGAAGGCCATGCTGAGTGCTTTCGACTTGATCCTGATGGGCGCCCTCAGATTGGTGCTTAGAAATCCTGCTCTGGGCTGAGTGTGGTGGCTCACGGCTATCATCCCAGCACTTTGGGAGGCTGAGGTGGGAAGGTCACAAGGTCAGGAGTTCAAGACCAGCCTGACCAACATGGTGAAACCCCATCTCTACTAAAAAGACAAAAATTAGCCTGGCGTGGTGGTGTGCACCTGTAATCCCAGCTACTTAGGAGGGTGAGGCAAGAGAATCGCTTGAACCCGGGAGGCGGAGGTTGCAGTGAGCCGAGATCAGGCCACTGCACTCCAGCCTGGGCGACAGAGAAAGACTCCCGTCTCAAAAACAACAAACAAACAAAAAGAAATTGTGCTTCTGCTGATCATGCTGAGGGGAGCCTGTGGGACTCAGCTCAAGCCACAGGGAACCTGAGGGCAGGATGGTAAGGAGTGAATGATGTCGGGCAGGTGACTCTGGGTTCAAGTGGAGACCCCAGACCTGAAGCTGGAAATACTGATTTGGGAGTTGGGAGCACAGAGATGATGAGTGGTGAAGGAGACAGATGGGGAGGGTGTGGAGGTGGGCAGGGAAAGGGAGCTGAGTCCTGAGCAATGCTCATGGGGAGGGAACAGGTGGAGCAGAGCCATAGCTGACAATGTGGGGGTCCTCTCCCCAGAGCAGGGCTGGGCAGCCTCCGGAAGCTGGACAGGTTGAGGTGGGAAGAACGATGGTGTGCAGGCCCCAGAGTCCTCGGTGGACGAGGGGGAGGGGGAGAAGGGGAGGCCAGGCTGGCAGCAGGGGCCTCAGTAGTTTGCTCAGCTGCTACAACAAAGTGCCACGGGCTGGGGGCTGAAACGCTAGACGTTTACTTCTCACAGTTCTGCAGCCTGGAAGTCCAAGATCAAGGTGTTGGCAGGGTTGGTTGCTCTGGAGGCCCTTCTGCGTGGCTTGCAGATGGCCGCCCTCTGGCAACGTCCTCACGGGATCTCTCCTCCGTGCACATGCGTCCCTGCGTCTCTCTGTGTCCTCATCTCCTCTTCCTACAACGACACAGTCATACTGGCATAGGGCCCACTCTGAGGGCCTTGTTTTAAGACTCTGTCTCCAAATATGGTCACATTCTGAGGTACTGGGGGTCACGGCTTCAACATAAGAATTTTGGGAGAACCTTAGCCATGTATTGTTACGTGCCCAATAAATGCTTACGGGTACAAACAGGAGGAGCCGAGGAGGAGCTCCTGGAGCACAAGTCTGCCTGCCTGGCTCTGCTAGTGGAGAAGGGAGGAGTTGAGGGGTGGGGTTTCTTTTGACGCTCTTGGGTGCCTGTCCTCCCCGCGCCCCTGCGGCTGACACCTCTCTCTGTCTCCCCCTGCAGCCTGTAACTGCAACCTGCATGCCCGGCGCTGCCGCTTCAACATGGAGCTCTACAAGCTTTCGGGGCGCAAGAGCGGAGGTGTCTGCCTCAACTGTCGCCACAACACCGCCGGCCGCCACTGCCATTACTGCAAGGAGGGCTACTACCGCGACATGGGCAAGCCCATCACCCACCGGAAGGCCTGCAAAGGTGGGCTACACGTGGCGGGGCGGGGGGCTGGGGAGACCCGGGGAACATCAGTCCTCCCGCTCCCTCCTCGCTTCCTTTTCTATTTTCTTCCAGTCTGTACAAATTGGCGTTGTCTGAGGTCATCTCTCTCTCTTTCTCTCTCTGTGACACACACACACACACACACACACACACACACACACACGCCTCCCTGGTATTTGGAGGTGTAAGCCAAAACAAAGGGGTGATGGAGACATGGCTCAAAGGAGAAGAAAGGAGAAGGTGGGATCCCCTACAAGGGTGCAGGGCTGCGGCCGCCAACACCTCTCCCTCCCCTCCCCCTCCTGGGCTTCTCCTCTGCACAGGTGTGCTGCATACCAGAGGGCTGCGAGTCATGTTCGCCAGGCTTACCGTTGGGACAAAGGACTCTCTTTCACCAAATGCACGCAGACTCACTTCTTTGGATATGTGCGCACCGCCCCTCACTCCCCCCCGAAACACACACACACACACACACACACACACACACACACACACACACGTACAGTCACAGCGGAGTCGGCAGTTTCAGGGGCAGGGTCTCAGAAGGAACATTTAATCCATCTGCAAATAGCTTTACTTCTCAGGACAAAAAAAAAAATTAAAAGGAGACGGGAGACTATTTTCGTCCACTGAAGCAAGCACTAATGTTTTAACTTTCTGCTGTTTGTTTTTCTCGTACCAACAAAAATGAAGCAATGGTCAGATGATTCAGAGAAGTTGATGAAATGCCAGAGAATTCAGTGATGCTGGAGGGTGAGAAGCGGGGCCCCCCCCACCCCACAAAATCTTTTGGGAATTCCAGGAACCAGGGCTTTCCTGCTGCAAAACTTGTGGCCTAAGGTCAGGGCCTGCCATGAACATGGCTTCCCAAGAAGATATTTACCTCTGAGGGCTCATGGGCAACACCTCGGCATGGGTGGGGTCCTGACCTGGACTTGTGTAGACCCGAACACACCAGGGTCCCAAGCCACGGCAGACAGGCCCAGGTGGCGTCCTGCAGGAGAGAAACCCTTCTGTGGCCACTGCTCAGCGTGTGGATGAAGCAAAAGTATCATCTTCTTAACAGGAAGTCCACCAGATGTTGGGCACTTGTGTGCAGGACTGACTGCATAATTTGCAGGGCCCAGTGCAAAATGAAAATAGGGGGCTTCCAGCACTTTGGGAGGCCAAGACGGGCGGATCACCCTAGGTCAGGACTTCAAGACCAGCCTGCCTAACATGGTGAAACCCCATCTCCACTAAAAATAGCAAAATTAACTGGGTGTGGTGGCGGTTGCCTGTAATCCCAGCTACTTGGGAGGCTGAGGCAGGAGAATAGCTTGAGCCTGGGAGGCGGAGGTTGCAGTGAGCCAAGATCGCGCCACCGCACTCCAGCCTGGGTGACAGAGCGAAACACTGTCTCGAAAAAAAAAAAAGAAAGAACATCTTGGGGGAAAAAAAAAAGAAAGTAACAAAGTAGGGGGCTTCTTATTCCAGAGATATTAAGAATTTTGAAACAAGGACAGCAGAGTTTCAACCAAGCTGGTGCCCTTCTGAGCACGGGGCCCATGAATCCAACCCAGCCCTGCTTATGTGGAACACTTTTCTCAAAATAAACAGGTTCCCAATCTGTCTCTTCCAGGAGAAATCCCTTTGATTCCAAATGCACAGGCATAAGTAGAATGGCTCCCTCGGTCAAGCAAGGTGTCCTTCTGTGTCTGCGGACTTACGGCTGCCTCTGGTGGTTGCCAAGAGAAACATGAACAGAAAGGTAGCTGGGCTGTTTCCACATTTTTTAAAAAATCACGGTTTCAGGTGAGAATCCCCCAGAAGACTGAGCAGAGAATGAATGGGAAGGTGGCCCAGGCAAAGGGACCCGAGAAACATCTGCAATGCCAGAAAGGTGTGACCAGGACAAGCCCCGGGAGAGATGGCTTTGGGCTTCCAGAGAACATAGTTGGAAGGTATCCAGCTCCTTTGCCTGTGCCCAGAGTGTTTGTTGTCTCTCTTTTACAGAAGAAATGGAGGCCAGGGGTCTTGTAAACAGCTGGCTTGCACATAGATTTCTTGGGAGTTCAGCCAAGAAATTTTACCCAACAGCGGCCACTCAGGTGGGCAGTCCTGTGCCTGAGAGTGAGAAGGTCTGGGTGAGAAAGGGCACTGGTCACTTCCTGTCATGCCAGTTTCTGCTGTCCAATTAGAAATGTATGTTTCCCAGAGAGGCAAGAAGGGGCAGGGCCCTGGTCACCTCCACCTACACCCTGTTGCTGTGGACAGGGACAAGAGCCATTTGCAGCCTCTCACCACTCAGAGTGAGAGACGTCAGGAAGCCACAGGGTCCCGGGAACCCGCAGGCCATTCTCCAGGGGTCTGCCACTCTGGCTGAATGGCATGATATTGCCCACCTTCCTTTACTGGTTTGTAGGAGGGCCAGATGCAAATAAATGAGGATGTGTTCTTGTTTTACGAGTTACAACATTGTGGCCAGCCTAGGTGGCTGTGTTTTCCTTCCCAGCCATGGACAGCAGCTGCCCCGGCCTTGGTGGGAACCCTGGGAGAATAACTCACAGGACGGGAAAACCTAAGGATGGATTCTACTCAGAAAGACACAGGCAAATTCTACTGAAGAAATGTGGCAGGAAAGGGTGGGACTCTTAGTGCCTGTTGACTGGGGAGGAATGACAGTGTTTCAAGGAAACTGCCATCAGATTGGTGAAGAAAGACAGTGCTTCAAGGAACTTGTCACCTGATTGGTGACAGAAGACTACACTTAAAAATATTTGCCACCTGATTGGTGAGGAAAGACAGGGCTTTGAGGTTTCTGCTTTCTGATTGGTGAGAAAAAGCATTGCCCAGAGATCTCTGCTTCATGATTGGCAAGAAAATATCTACTCTCTGATTGGTGAGCAAAAATTTGACCCAAGAAGTCCAGCCATCTGATTGGTGAAGAAAGACATCTCTGGAAAGTCCAGATCTTTCCCCTCAGCTCTTTCCTTTCCTGGTATCATGCTCTTATGGGATATAGGACACTTCCCACCAAAAAGAGACCCTGAGATCTTGGTAGGAACCATCGTTAGGAGAAGTTCAGATGCTGGCGGGATGTGTACCCTTGAGATCTTCAAACAGGGGTCTCCTGGTCAACCCCCTTCCACCACCACCACCACCACCACCACCACCACCACCACCACCACCACCACCACCACCACCAGCACCTCCTGCCTTGTATTCCCAGGGCCAGATGGTTCAAGGAAATGGTTCCTTGCGAGGTTTGATATTTGACAGTTTGCTCTCAGAGGCTTCTGAAATTTTGTAGATGTGGTGCTGCCCCCAGGCTCTGGCTTTTTTTTTTTTTTTTTTTGAGATGGAGTCTCACTCTGTTGTCCAGGCTGGAGTGCAGTGGTGCAATCTCGGCTCACTGCAACCTCTGCCTCCCAGGTTCAAGCGATTCTCCTGCCTCAGCCTCCAGAGTAGCTGGGATTATAGGTGCAAGCCACCACAACCAGCTAATTTTTGTATTTTTAGTAGATATGGGGTTTCATCATGTTGGCCAGGCTGGTCTCGAACTCCTGACTTCAGGTGATCTGTCCACCTCAGCCTCCCAAAGTGCTGGGATTACAGGTATGAGCCACCGTGCTTGGCCAGTTAGGCCCCATCTTTTGAGAATGACTTCTGGAAGCCCTATCATAGGCCTTCAGGTGAGAGCTGCACTTCTTTGCTTTGTTTCAGATGAATTTCACAGGGGAACAGGGACAAAGGGCAGGGGTTCTTGACTCCCAAATTGGCTTGGGAACGGCCTCTGGGGCCTCTTTACCCCAGACTTTACAGGGCCTGGGCAGGGGGCCGAGGCCACCCATATGCTGCTGGTGATTGGCTGACTCTGGACCTTGTCCAGTGTAGAGGAGGGGTGGACCCAGACAAGAACAGCCTGGAGTAAGGGCATCAGATTCCAAACATTACTATGTAGTTGCCCCATTTGGGAAGTTTCGTAGCAACAAATTTGTTGGGTTCTTTCTCCCCTCCCCTGGTTTAGAAGCAAACCAGAGCTGGCAGGGTTGGTGCGTACAAAGGACTGTAATAAACATACCCGGGGAACAGGCGGCTGCACTCTCCAGCTATTCAGTGCGATTTCACAGCACTGGGACGGCCTCGTTATGGTGCAAGCTGTTGTCCTATACAAAGGCAGATGAGATAAATTTCTCCCTTTTCTCCGCTGAATGGTCTGTGAATGATACTCGTCTTGGAGTCTGTCAAAAGACAGGAGGTTTTGTTTACCATTTGTCTTCTTTGTGGACTTTGGGGGCTCTTTCTCTTTAGAGCGGGCAAAGACGACCAAAGACGACGTTGCTATTTAACCATTTCGGCCCTGCCCCCATTGATAACAATATTAATTTATCATTTTCCCAAACCATCTGTGATGGATAAAGACATTCCAGGAGTCTCCCGTGAACCGAATTGTGATGAGAATTAAGAAATTAACCACTGCATCCAGCATCCCCATACAAAGGGCTTGCATTTCCATCTCACTGAGCTGCCTGTTTCCTTCTCTCATTGTCTTTCCCCCTTTCAAGCCCACAGTTCGTGTGGTTGAATGAAGGCTAGGAAGGTGCTTGAGTCCCAAGCAAGAAGATGCAATAATTAGCCAGGGCAAAAGCATGCAATCGTCCTCACATCTTTGCTAGGACGTTCTTGCTACTTCCGTCCACCCCTTATTTCTTTCAGCAGCTCAGCCAAGAGTTGCTGGATGGGGAGGAAATGAACACCACAGTCTTGCCCCCTCTGTTTCCTTGGGTCACTGTGTGCAGGGGACTCCCCATGACTTTCTCATTCGTGATTCTCCACCTTCACTGTATGGCGTCATCAGCATTATTTGTCTGTAACTTATGCTGTGAGTCTCACCCTTGGCTGCACATTGGAACCACTTGGGGAGATTTGAAAATACTGCCGCCTGGATCCCACCCCCAGAAATTCTGGTTTAATTAATGGGTCCAGATGCGATCTGGGCATTTGGAATTGGAAAAGCTCCCCTGGAGATTCTAATGTGTAACCAACACTGAGAACCACAGAGAATAAGAAATGAGGATGGTGAGTTGCTCTTGGTGGCATTAAGGGAAGACTTGTAGGCAGCCTAGACCCCAGGTTTATTGTTTTGAGGAGATAGATTGATCATCAATGAATTTAAATGTTTTTTATGATTATCTTGATGATAACTGGGAGGTTGGGCATTTAAATTTTTTAAATTTAAAAATCCTGGCCGGGCACGGTGGCTCATGCCTGTAATCCCAACACTTTGGGAGGCCACGGCGGGCGGATTACCTGAGGTCAGGAGTTTGAGACTAGCCTGACCAACATGGAGAAACCCTGTCTCTACTAAAAATACAAAATTAGCCGGGCGCAGTGGCGCATGCCTGTAATCCCAGCTACTTGGGAGGCTGAGGCAGGAGAATTGCTTGAACCCAGGAGGCAGAGGTTGCAGTGAGCCGAGATTGCGCCATTGCACTCCAGCCTGGGCAACGAGAGTGAAACGCCGTCTCAAAAAAAAAAAAAAATCTTACTGGGCAAGGCTGGGAGCTTAGCTAGTGTAGCCTGATTAAGGCACAAGATCAGACAGTCATCAGTGCCAGATAGATAGTGCTTGCACGTGTGTGTGTGAATATGTGTGTTTAGATCTGATCATTTGTGGATTTATTCACAGCAAAGCAAAGTTCCTGGGCCCCCACCCTTCTTGGTCTTCCTGACTCTAAGGCATTGTCCACCCACCCTATAAAAGCCTCGGGCACCCTTTGAATATGTGGGTCCCCTGTCACATTTCCATTACCTGTATTTATACTTTCATGTTTTTTTGTGGGGGGTGCAGGGAAAAGGGTTGGTCATCTGAGGCAGGAAGGTACTTAGTGGCTGGAGCGGCTCCAGCTTTGAGGACAGAGACCCCAAGGCAAGGAGTGGGCTTCATTATGGCCAGGTAAGGTTAGTACCTACTGGGAGAAACTGACACCTTAGATACTGCATTTGGGAGAGAGAATTCCCAGTGGAAGAGTTTCACTCCAACTGTGATCTGTGTGGATGCATCTTTTCCCTTGGGAGACATGAGCATCACAAACCTTACCTACGTATTTGGCTCCATGTTCAGTCTACAGGGTATCAGATAAGTCTGGTGACCTCTCTAGACCTCAGTCTCCTCATCTGTGGGATTATGGTCAGGCTGCTGGCCTCTGAATCCCTTCCAGCTTTGACATTCCACATTCCACATGCTTCTTAAGTAGTCAACCTCTTAGGAGAACTTGATACAATAGGACAATTCTTTGTAGCAGTGAAGTTTGTGATCTGGTGACTCAGAAAAGCTGGTAGAGCCAGGAAATTAGGTGGAGGTGGTTTGACTGCAGTCTTTACAGATGAAAAGAGTCCCTGATCTTGTGACTCGACCCATGTGGCGCACTGTGCCAAACGGGGTCTCCCTGGCCCAGCTGTGCTCATTCCCTGGACACCCTTGGCCCATCCATGTTTTCACCTCCCTGGATGTGAGTTCTCTGATCTCTCAGGACCACTCTTGTCCCCAAATGCCACATAGAAATTCCTGGAGGATTGGCTGGGTGCGGTGGCTCACGCCTGTAATCCCAGCACTTTGGGAGGCTGAGGCGGGTGGATCACCTGAGGTCAGGATTTTGAGACCAGCCTGGGCAACATGGTGAAACCCTGTCTCTACTAAAAATACAAGAATTAGCCGGGTGTGGTGGCGCATGCCTGTAATCCCAGCTACTCGGGAGGCTGAGGCAGGAGAATCGCTTGAGCCTGGGAGGCAGAGGTTACAGTGAGCCGAGATCGCACCATTGCACTCCAGCCTGGGTGACAGGGCGAGACTCCGTCTCAAAGAAAAGAAAAAGAAAAAGAAATTCCTGGAGGATCTCCAGGGGTTCCTGTGCTTGAGCAGAAAAGACTCCTGATCATTGAGCTCCCCAAGTTAACGGAAGTTCTGGGTTTGGCCAGAGCGTTAAGGGCATTTTACTTGAGGAAATAGTGTCTTTTGGGCTTTTTGTTGCCAGGAGAGCACTTATGGGGCCGGGGGCAGGTGGCACGGGGATAGTAAACAGGTTTGGGATGCAGAGCTTTGAAAAGCATGGAACTTGGTGTTATTCAGACCACAGTTCAGGCTCCACCTCTGGAGGCAAGACATTTACTCTCAGTAGCCTCAGCTTTCTTATCTGCAAATGGGAAGAATAGTCCCTCCTCCCTCCTAGGGCTATGGTGCAGATTAAATGAGATGATGTGGAGGATGTCCGGGCATGTAGCATGCGTTCCATGTATGGCAGCTATTATGATTATTTGTGCAAGTCAGAGAAAACAGAAACACTAGAACCCTCTGCCATTGTCAGCACACACACAAAGCAGAGACACTTTCTTTGACCCTCTGGTTGCTTTGGTTCTTTCGGTGAGTGGTGGCCCTCAGGAGAACCGGCCCCTCTTGCTTGAAGGGCTCAGCCCCAGTGTGGACTTGGCAGCCAATTCCCACAGGACTGGGCAGGGCCCCAGGGGTTGGCCCTAATGCTGTTGCACACTCTCAATAAAGGATTTCCATGCTTTGGGAGCAAAGATGACAAGTCGAAGGGCAGAGATGTGCCCAGCAGCTGCTTGTGGAGACCCAGCACAGAGAGGTGGGGGCGGGCTGTGCACATCCAGATTTGGCTCTGGAAGTGCCAAGGAAGACCAGGCAGCATCTGAGGGACTCCTTGACTGGACTGGGACTTAGGGCTGTTGGGAGGCCTGAGCTGGCCTGAGCTGCCTCACCTGTGGCACAGACACAGGACCCAGGTTCCTGCTCCTGCCCCACTGTGTCGTACAGCCCTATTCCTGCCCCAAGCTCTTGTGACACACACACACACACACACACTCACACACACACACTGGGAATCATTTGCAAGACCTGTCTTTTCTCCTTGGCTGTAAAACAGGTGCAGGAAGACTATAGTTAACTAGATCACGGAGTGTCAAATAACCCAGTTTGGGATTACGGGGCTCCCCTCCCCCCAACTTCCTGCCGCCTGCACCTTGATCCGAAAGTGGCAGGGAAAGGATAGGTTGTGCAACTTGAAACATTTATTCTTTTGTGCCTCGTTAGCAACTGCTGGGGCAAAGGAAAGCATAGCTTCAGAGGAGGTTGACACAGACAGCTGAAATGACGTTTGGGGATTATCTTCAGATTTCAGTGATCCTCCCTCCCTTGTTAA
Source organism: Homo sapiens (assembly GCF_000001405.40). Classification (NCBI taxonomy): domain Eukaryota; kingdom Metazoa; phylum Chordata; class Mammalia; order Primates; family Hominidae; genus Homo; species Homo sapiens. The sequence continues at coordinate 9,171,221 of NC_000017.11, forward strand.
CACAGAGAATGTAAGAGTGGAGAGTGCAGGGGCATTGGATTGCGGATGACCTAGGATGTGAGGGGACTGTCATCCCACCTGCCCCCTCATTCTTTCCTCCAGATGTGCAGGGGCAGCAACATGCCCCCCTCTCCCCACCAGGAAAGGACGGCAGATTGGCCTGAGTTACATCCAGATTGGTAACAAGATTGTTTGTTCATTTGATTCACCACATGTTTGTGTAACGCTTATTGCATGCTAGACATGGGCCCTTGGAGCTTGCTTTTTGATGGGAGGTTGACAATAAACAAAGAAGAAAAAGGAAGATAATGATGGATTGTGGTGAGTTACATGGAGGAAAGCAGCAGGGTGGAAGGAGAGAGTAACTGGGCAAGCTGCGCTACAAGGTGGCCCTGGAGGGGCTTCTCGCGGACAGGACATCTGAGATGAGACCTGGGGTGTGGGGAGGAAACAGCCACAAGGAAGCTGAGGGAAGAACATTCCAGGAAGAACCAAAGTCTGGAAGCAGGAAAGGGCTTGGTGGGCCCTTGGTCAGAAGGGAAGAGAGGGAGGAAGGGGTGGGAAGAGTCAGCTCCTTGGTGTCTGGAGAGGAGTTGGGTCCCATTCTCAGAGCACTGGAAGGCTGGAAGGAGAAGAGTTAACTGAGTAATATATCAGGCTCACTTTTTTTTTTTTTTTTTTTTTTGAGACGGAGTTTCGCTCTTGTTGCCCAGGCTGGAGTGCAATGGCGTGACCTTGGCTCGCCACAACCTCTGCCTCACGGGTTCAAGTGATTCTCCTGCCTCACCCTCCCGAGTAGCTGGGATTACAGGCATGCGCCACCACACCTGCCTAATTTTGTATTTTTAGTAGAAATGCAGTTTCACCATGTTAGTCAGGCTGGTCTCGAACTCCCAACCTCAGGTGATCCGCCCACCTGGTAATCCCAAAGTGCCGGGATTACAGATGTGAGCCACTGCGCCTGGCCAGGCTAACCTTTTAAGAAGCCCTTTCTAGGCGGGGTGCGGTGGCTCACGCCTGTAATCCCAGCACTTTGGGAGGCCGAGGAGGGCAGATCACGAGGTCAGGAGATCGAGACCATCCTGGGAAACATAGTGAAAATACAAAAAATTAGCTGGGCGTGGTGGTGGGTGCCTGTAGTCCCAGCTACTCGGGAGGCTGAGGTAGGAGAATGGCGTGACCCGGGAGGCGGAGCTTGCAGTGAGCCGAGATCACACCACTGCACTCCAGCCTGGGCGACAGAGCGAGACTCCGTCTCAAAAAAAGAGAAGCTCCTTCTGTAAGACAAGCCACAGATGAAGAGAAGATACTTGCACATCCCACGTCTGATGGAGGACTTGAATATCAAAGATGTAAATGACTCTCAAAATTCAACAACAAGGAAACAAACAACCCAATTAAACATGGGCAAAACACTTGAATGGAAACATCATCAAAGACGGGCAGATCACAAATAAATACATGGAACGTCCTTAGTCATTAGAGAACTGCAGGTTAAAACTACCATGAGGCCGGAAGCGGTGGCTCATGCCTGTAATCCCAGCACTTTGGGAGGCCAAGGCGGGTAGATCACCTGAGGTCAGGAGGCTGAGGCAGGAGAATCACTTGAACCTGGGAGGCGGAGGTTGCAGTGAGCCAAGATTGCACCATTGCACTCCAGCCTGGGCAACAAGAGTGAAACTACATCTCAAAAAAAAAAAAAAAAAAAAATGTATGCACATGATACAAACCCATAAGACTACACCAAAAAAAGTGAATTTTACTCTATGCAAATTAAATGATAATAGCAATAAGAAGAAACTCCTTCCCTAGGGCTCTCTGACACTGCGTCTTTGGGCCTCCTTGTTCCCCATCTCCCATACCTCAAAGCTCTGAACTCACTTAGAGACCAGTCTCCCTGGGTCAGCACTCCCTCCCCTCCCCTGGTCTCTCTGTCTGCCCTGCCCCCAAAAGCCCTGCCTGCCTGGTGTCTTCGCCGCCACCTTACATTAGGTCCGCTCCATTCCAGAATGCCCTGCTGGTTTTCCTGTGTTTCTTCTTTTGGTTGCTGATCCTTCACTCCTGTTTTGGGGAGTGGGGAAGAAATGGGTGCTTGGACACCTCTGTCCCTGACATCATCTTCTCTCCAGTGTCACCTCTAGTGAGGGTCCCACCAGGCTTCCTCCAAGAGGCCTGACACCCACCAGAGATATGGGGACCTGGGGAGCCTCTGGATCCTGCTTTTCTCTGAAGATGCTGGCCCTTGCTGACTCTTTGGACTGTCCTCACTGCACCAAGCAAGCTGCTGCAGTCGACCTCCCTGACCTCCACAGCAGCCAGGGAGCAGCCTGGCCCACGCCGTGGGGCCTGTCCACAGGGCCTCGTCTACCCCTACGTTCTTTGTGGATGGCGTCCACCTATGCAGACTGATACTACTCAAAGCAGAGAAGACTGTCTCCCCCAGCCCAGGAGGGCCACAGGCAGATGCAGCCCTTTGGCATGAGCTGTAGGACTTGGAGTCACATGGAGCCTCACAATTGGCTCCAGGGTTCAGCCCTCCCTGGGGAAACTTGGCAAGATTTCCACATTCACTGCTGGGGCAATGTCCCGGGATTCAGGGCAGGGTGTTTTCTCTGTCTGTTGCATTCCTCTGTCCCTTGGAAGTCTTGTGAGGACTAGGAAGGGAGTTTCCCATCAGACTTTGGGAGGGATGCCTTCAGCACTTGCTGTGTGAGCCCTTTCTTCTTCTGGACTGGAACAGAGGGCACCCCCTGCATTGCTGTACAGGTGAGGAGGGGGCTGCTGATGGGGCCGGCCTCCCTTCTCTGACCTCGTGCCAGCCTTCTGAGGGCTCTTAGGACCTGCAGCACTTCCTGCTCAAGGCCTCTGCCAGTGCCCTTTTGAGAACAGCCCTCAGATGGTCTGTGAGCTGTGAGACCTGTTGGGAATCAGAGCCAGCAGGGGCTCTAAAGATCATGGAAGCTGAGAGCTGCTCTGCTGGCCTGTGGGGGTTTTGGGGACCCTCAGAGACATGGCCTGCCATGGAGAAGGTTTTCCTCTTCCAGCAAAGGTGGTGACTTCCACAGGGAGCCAGGGGATGAAAGAGCTGATTGGTGGAGTGGTGGGGCAGTCTTCCTTCCCATGAGTACAGGACAGGCCTAGGAGGGTCCTGGAGAAGAAGATGCTTACCTGAGGCTCCACACAGGTGTGTTAGTCAGTGCAGGCTGCAAAGTGCCTCAGACTGATTGGCTTAAACAACAGAAGTTTATGTCTCATAGTTCTGGAGGCTGGAAGTCCAAGATCAAGGTGTCAGCAGGGCTGGTTTTGTTCCAAGAAACATCTGCTCCAGGCCTCTTTCCTTGGCTTGCAGATAACCGTCTTCTCCCTGTGTCTTCACAGGGTCTTTCCACTGCACTCATCTGTATCCCGATGCCCTCTTCTAATAAGGACACCGGTCATGTTGGATCAGGTTCCACCCCAGTGACCTCACTTTAAATTAATCAGCTCTTTAAAGCCCCTATGTCCAAATACATCCAACTTTGAGGTACTGGGGATTAGAGTTTCCGCATCAGCATTGTGTGTGGCAGGGAGTACACAGTTTAGCCCATAGCACAAGGTCAGGCCAGAAGCGGAACTTCAGGACTGGCCAGAGGCCTGGGTGGTGGCTGTGGTGGTGTCTGAAGTGAGGGTGGGGCTGTGGCTGTTCTGTCTCCCCTGTCCTACCTGAAGCTGCTCCAGAGGAGCTCATGCCCAGCTGGCTTTCCTGTCCTCTATGGGCACGTGGCCTTGGATCACTGCCATTTGAAGGTCCTGCCTGACCTCAAGAGCCCCTGGAGCCAGAGTCCTCAGGAAAAGTAGCCAGACCTCTGGATAGGAGCCCAGGACAGACTTCTGGAAAGCCTTAGTATGTGCTTCAGTGGAAAGGGTGCCAGGCTCAGGAGTGTGTCTCCTCCCTGGCAGAGCCCAGGAGCCTTCAGGGATCCCTTCAGAGAGTGTCAGAGGGAGTGGGAAAAGGCAGCTACTTGGGCACAAGAAACTGACGATGAGAACCACCTGCCATCCAGGTCAGCTTTGCCAGGGCTCTCGGAAGTCCCTGGGTACTCCCTCTCTTCACCGACAAACCAAATCTCAACAAGATTCTGGCACCATGCAGGTGGGTGCTGGTGCAGGCAGGGCCAGCAGTAAGGGTGTACGGAAGGCCCGGTGTGCCCTGCAACAGGAGCCCTTTCCCCTGCCCTCTTGCCAAGACACTGAGGAACGGCAGCAGAAGGGGCGATGGTCAAAGGGTGGGGGCTGCTGCCCTGGTTCCTTTGGACCCAGCAGGGAGGCAAAAACCTTAGCCTGTTAAGTTGTAAGTCACTTCAGTGGGACTTTAGAGGGAGACCTCTGTCCTTACAGGTGAGCCACCGGTGGTCCAGAGAGAGAAAGGCACTAACCCAGGGTCACTGGGAGGGTGGGGCGCCAGACCTGGATCCCCTCTTACCTGTCTGAAAGCGCGTGGGTCACCTGAGCTGTCTGTCCCTGTCTCATGACCCAGAGCAAGGACCGCGTGGGTTCTCTGCTTCACTGGGAGGCTCTCCAGCCTGCGGTTTCATGGGAAACCTGATCTTGCCGTGTTCTCAGGGACCTGGGCTTCCGTCTGGCCTCACCTTTCTCTTTATGGAAAAAATCCCCGGGTTGATTGTTTCCCATGGCCAGGTGCTGCCTGCTCCTTGCACACGGGGTGACCTGCCATGGAAGGGATTGACCTCCCTCTGAAAAAAGTGGCTGACTTCCAGGGACATGGGAGCCACCCAGCGGCTTCCTATGGCGGAAGATGTTCTGACCCAGACCACGTTCTCAGAGGAATTAGGGAGGCTCTCTCTTTGTCTCCCTCACCAGACACCCCCACCACCTCCCCTGCAAAGGAAAAGACCTCCACTCACCTAACTGCCACCTTCTCCCCAGCTCACTCCACACCTCCCCTCCCCTGCCCCCCCGTGGCCCTGTGTGTCTGTGTCTGTGTGTGTGGCTTTGTGGATCTGAGTATATGTCTGTGCGTGGGTGAGTTTGTAGATAAGAATCCGTGTGTTTGTGAGTCAATGTATGTAGATGAGAGCGAGGGAGGGAGAATTAGTAGGAGTCTGCTTGTATCTGTGTGTTTCTGGGAATATGTGTGAGTCTCTGTGTGTTAGTAGGAACTTTGATGTGTCTGTGTCTGTGTATATTTCAGGGTCAAGGGACTACAGCAGGATGCTTTTGACTTCCTCTTCCTCAAGGCCAGGGCCTGAGTCTTCCCTTGGGCTCAGCCTCTCTTCCTTTGGCACTGCCAGTCACATTCTCCCTTTCCAGGCCATAGTATGGCATTGCCATCTGTCAACTCTCCCTACACCTTGAAACTCAGACTTTGCACAGGGTATAATGGGGGCCATCTCGATTTGTGAATTTTTAGGAAAAGTTCTTTGGGTAATCTCCTTTGGCTGGAGATTGAGAATGAATTCCAGGCAAGTCTGTTAGGATTGCACTGGGTACAGGTAACAGAAAACCCACATCATATTATAAGATAGGAGCTTATTTCTCCTTGCAGAACAAGAAATACAAAGGGGGCCATTTAGAAAGGGTAGTTCCCTCAGAGATCCAGGCTCTTTCCACCTCTCCGCACAGCCCCCAGCTTTCTCCTGCAGTTGTCTTTTCTGGTCCCTGGCCTCCTCTGTGCTGTCACGCGCATTTCAGAGGGCTGTCGCAAGGACCAAGGGATTCGACACGTATGAGAGAGTGTGGATGTGCTAAGGAGTTTGCAGGAGTTGGCACGGGGCAGCTACTGCTGAAGAATACTCTGCCTTGGGCAGCCCCTTTGGGACCCTGATTGCCTCCCTTCCTAGAACAATGATCTGCTGGTGGGGAAACACAAGTCAGCCCGCTGCCTCCATAAACCAGAGGAATAGGTCAGATTCTTGCAGAATCTCAGAAAGATTTGGAAACCCAGGAGCAAGCATCAGCTCATGTTGAACCAAAGAGTGGGCCCTTAGGAAGCGTCTGCCGCACCCAGCAGACACAGTGGCCCTGCCATTACCGGGGACGGCCCTCACTCCGCCAGACCTCAGCTGGTGCCAGCCCAGGCAGCTAAGCGGGTCACCGGCTGTGGGGGAGAACAATGCACCATCCTGACTCCACCCAGAGTCTGCTCTGGGTCGGCCGCTGCCAAGATAAAGACAACCTGGGCCAATGAGGGTGTCCACGTGTGACTTGGCTCTGAACGTGCAGTGACCGAGCAACCTTTGGTGACCTCCCTTCAGCCAAATCCAAGGATCCAGAAGTTACTGGTGCACAGCTGTGTTCCATCAGCTCGGAGGGGAGAATGTCTTGGCATGAATCTTAGGATTACCAGCTGGCTAAGGGAGGTCAGCCGGCCTGAGGCCCTGATGCTCACGCTTGCATCAGGGGCTTCGAAGACAGTAGGAGCCTGTGCTGTGGCCCTTTGCATTCGCACGGCCGACTTAGAGGCACTGCCCATGCTCCATCTCCCTTCCTACCATGGACGAATTTAAGAGACCATAGGGAAAGGTCAGAGACCCTCTCCAGCCTCCCCTCCTCGCCGCCGCCTCTTCTGCACGTCTCCATGGGCCGTCAAGGCTGGATCTTTTCTTACTGTCGAGAGAGACAAACAACAGAGAATGAACTTGAATTTAGGGTACATCTAAGAAGACAATTTCCTAACAAAAGGCATTGCTTCTGGCTGGTCGCGGTGGCTCACGCCTGTAATCCCAGCACTTTGGGAGGCCAAGGCGGGCAGATCACCTGAGGTCAGGAGTTCGAGACCAGCCTGGCTGACGTGTTAAAACCCCATCTCTACTAAAAATACAACAAAATTAGCTGGGTGTGATGGTGGGCACCTGTAATCCCAGCTACTCGGGAAGCTGAGGCAGGAGAATCGTTTGAACCCGGGAGGCGGAGGTTGCAGTGAGCCGAGATTACGCCATTGCACTCTAGCCTGGGCAACAAGAGTGAAATCCATCTCAAAAGAAAAGAAAAACAACCCAGCATTACTTCTATCTATAAGAAGCAGCAGCAAGACTGGAGCAGTTCCATCAGCCTACAGGCAGGGAGCCCTGTAGGCTGCCCCCGTGCCAGGGCCTGTGCCCCCACCCTCCTCCCACCTGATGGGGGCACCCCCAGCCCTGGGACCCTCACTCTGAGTGATTCCAGGAGGTTTTGCATGTCCAGACACAACTTCAACAAACAATTCCTCACATTCTTCTCTTCTCCACCTTCCTCCCTCCCTCCTCTTCCTAATTCTCCTCATTGGCCACTCCTGGGCCCGAGGCCGGCTGGGCTGGGAGAGGTCGTGTTTTGAGCCACAGACTCCCGTGCTCACGCCCAGCAGTGCTTGCTGGGAAGTTCTAATCTGGCTGCTTCAGAGCCTCTGCTCTCACTTGCATTCTTGGGTTTTTTGGTCCTTTTGGAGGAGGAACAGATTAGCAGCCACGAGGGGACACCTGGAATTGCTGCCGGACGCCTTACTGCAGACGACTCCCCACTTCCAGCCTCCAGGATGGGGCATGGGCAGGACATTTGCCTTCTTCCTTCGGTGTTCCCCTTCCCCACCACACTCTGAGGCCACCGCCTAGCTTCAGGGAGGCAGGACTTAGCAGGGAACGCTGGTGTCCTGTGCCTACAGGTATAGCTGTTCTTGCCCTGAGCATCTGTGTTGGTGGGACATCCTCCTGAGGTCCTGTGGCTACTCTCTTACCAGAATTGGCTTCTTGGGACACAGCGACAGAGCCTCCGTGAAGCATGACAGGGTGGGCAACCCCACCTCTCCACCCTTTCAAGCCCAGGAGGAGGGTGGGGGGCCTGCTCTGTGGAGCCGTAGTTGCTGGCTTGAGAATCCCGGGCCTTGCTTCAGCTCCCAGCCTGGCCGTTCCCTTCCTGTGAGGCTCTGGGAGTTTCCTTTACCTCTCCCGTCTTTGTTTGCACATTTAATCAGGGCTTTAAGCTAAATGATCACCGTGACCCTCTCTAGTGCTACAGTTTATGGGTTTTGTGATTCAGAAGGCTGCCTGGCTGCAAAGTAGGGTCAGGTGTTGGGGGGCAGCAGCTGGGGGAGCCACCCCTCCCTGTGACTCCCTCTAACCTGGCAAACCCCAGAGCTTCACCAGGCCTCAAACCCCACTCCTCCCATGCCCTGGGTTGGCAAGAAAACTTGGGGGCAGGGAGCTGGTTGAGGACAGAGTGAAAACGCATAAGCCGACCCTGTCAAGGGAAGGTGTATCCCCCGATCCTGACTCCTCCACCCAGGCGTGATGAGGGCTACGGGCTCTGCCTTCCCGAGAAGGTATTTGAAAGCCTTCCTCCTGGGCTTCCAAAGGGCTTCTGCATTTCACTTTCCTGCTGCCAAAGCAGTCTCTTCAGGTCGGTCCATTTTGGTTTTTATTCTCCGTTTCCAGGTAGGTGGGTGGCCAGTGTCAGAGCTTCCGGAGTGCGTTTGGGCTTGGCTGGGCCTGCTCCCCATCGCTGCTCTTCCTCCAGGGCAGGGTCCATGGAGGCAGCCCTGGGTAGGGAAGGCTCTGCGGGGATGCACTGGCCGCTTCCCCCTTGTCTGACCCTCCCATTTTGTGTTCTCTGCAGCCTGTGATTGCCACCCTGTGGGTGCTGCTGGCAAAACCTGCAACCAAACCACCGGCCAGTGTCCCTGCAAGGACGGCGTGACGGGTATCACCTGCAACCGCTGCGCCAAAGGCTACCAGCAGAGCCGCTCTCCCATCGCCCCCTGCATAAGTATGTGTGGGGCACCCTGCTTTTCAAGTCTCTGGCTTTGTGGGGGACAGTGAGCTTTTGAGGATGCTAGTCACTGATGTTCAGTGGGTTCCTTTTTTGGTTGGTTGAGTCTCACTGTGTCGCCCAGGCTGGAGTGCAGTGGCACGATCTCAGCTCACTGCAACCTCTGCCTCCCAGGTTTAAGTGATTCTCCTGCCTCAGTCTTCCAAGTAGCTGGAATTACAGGCGCAAGCCTTCATGCCCCGCTGATTTTTGTCTTTTTAATAGAGATGGGATTTCGCTGTGTTGGCCAGGCTGGTCTTGAACTCCTGACCTCAGGTGATCCACCCACCTTGGCCTCCCAAAGCGCTGGGATTAGAGGCATGAGCCACCGCGCCTGGCCCATTCAGTGGGTTCTGTCTTCAATGTGCATTCCTGCATTCAAGGCCTCATGCTCAGTGAGTCCACGTGGGAGACCCCCCAAGCTCATAGAGTTCTTGCAGAAGCCACTGGGGGCTCAGCAGAGCCAGCCTGTCTGAGGCTGTCTATCCTGACAAACACTGAGTCTCCTGTTTCTGGGGAAAAGCAAGCCCCTCTCCTCAGCACTGGCCCCATTCTCACTGTCCACCTGGACCCTGGATCTGGGTGGGCCCATTCCAGGAGTGCTGTTGTCACTATTGCCGGAATGCCGGCATTCCCCCTGCCCCTGGTGGGTTCAGAACAGAAAGGACGGACAGCCCAGGGCCTTCGAGAGGAGCTGGGCAGGGCTTCCATGCACGGCACCTGTGTCCCTAATGAAGGATGATAGCAACCCTGAGGCGTTCCGTACAGCTGTTCGCAGGGGCTCGCTAATAGCAAATGACCAGGGTCCAAGCCTTGGTAGAGGGGGCTCAGCACCCATCCAGGGCAGAGCAGGTTGAAATAGCTTCACAACAACCTCCAATTGTCAGCCTCACAGTTTGTCAAAATCCTTCTGTCCATCCAGATTCTGCAAGGTGAACATTTTTAGACAGCTGGGAGGAAATCTGGGGTTCGGAAAACATGGGGGGAAAGCTGAGGTCTCCCGTCAGGGAATTAGGAGTTCTCAGGTTGCTCAGAAATGGTTGGAACCAACATTTCAAATTCCCAGGTGGAAAAATCAAGCCTAGACACGAGAGCTGGTGTTTCTGAATCAGAGGCTGAAGCCTTGGGAACTCTCATTTCCCAGCCTGTGCCTTCTCTCCTCCTCTAACAAAGGGCGGGCTGATGCCTGGCGAGAGCATTGTCCCTCCTTGGACAACCTGGGGCTCCATCCTGGAATTTTCGCTTGCTCTTCCCGAGGGAAGAGCTACAGGTGCCCAGACAGTGCCTGGGGGACTCGTGCCCTGTTTTGTCCCAGCTTGGGCAGCCATGGGCCCTGTGTGTGCATCCCAGAGCCAGGCTGACCTCAGGCACTGAGGTTGGGTGGTCACAATGACTCTGTGGCCATTGGCTTCGGCTCCATTTGTGGACTTGCAGGATTAGACTGGACCATTCAGATGTTGCCTCCAGGATGTTCCTGCTGGGACCAGGTGGCTTTTTAGGGCCAGCTTCCTAATAACCCATTGTGACAGGGCACCTATGGTTTGTTGTTGCTAATACAGTTGCCTGGGAGCAAGATTTGACCCCAAATTGAGGGCTGTGTCCCCCACTTGTTCTTCCTAAAGGAGCAGAGGATGCCTCCGGTGCCTCTCAGATTTGCCCCCGGCCTGAGTAGCCCATGTCCATCCACCAAGCCTCAAGTCCTAGCTCATCTAGAATCTAGGGAGTCAGAGTTTTACCGCAAAGAATCAGATGGTGGCTAGAGTCAGTGGGGTTCATGGTCACTCACCAGGGGAAGTGAGTCCCTTCCTCTTAGGGACTCCTGGTCCATGGTTTGGCCTTGTTCAGAAAGAGGAAGCCTGAGCTTCAGTGCCAGGCTGCTGAACCGATGAGCAGTGGGGACTGGCTGAACCGCCTCTCTTTTCTTGAGCACAGGGTGGGGTCTGGGAAGTAGTAGGAACCAACTGCTTTTTAAATATTTATTATTATATATACTTTTTGAGACAGGATCTTGCTCTGTTGCCCAGGCTGGAGTGCAGTGGTACCATCATAGCTCACTGCAACCTCAAACTCCTGGGCTCAAGGAATCCCCCTGCCTCAGCCTCCTGAGTGGCTGGGACTACAGGTGCGTGCCACCACGCCTGGCTGATTTGTTTTATTTCTTGTAGAGGCAAGGTCTTGCTTTGTTGGCCAGGCTGGTTGCAAACTCCTGGCCTCAAGCCATCCTCCCCAAACGTGTTGGGCCCCAAACGTGTTGGGATGACAGATGTGAGCCCCTGCACCTGGCCAGAGTGCTATATTAGATAGAGAATAATCAAAACGATCACATGCTTTTATGAGGCCCTTGGATCTGCACTCTCAGTCCCATTCTGCCCATTAAGAAAATGCCTTAGCGCTTGAGATGTGAGGCTGTAGGAACCTGGGCCGTGCTGCCAACACTTCTCTGCACGTGGGAGAAACCTTTCCCTTTGGGCAGGTTCCCAGCCCCTTGCGTGCTATCCTGCCATGGATCCTTCTCCACCTGTGAGTTGAGCTTAGAGATGAGCAGGGCCCAGGTAGCCACATCACGATGAGCAGAGTGGCCTGGGGAAGCCTCTCTCCATACCCGCAAGGGTGGAGCTGAGTTGACGCCAGGCCCAGGGGGTGGGGGCAAGGCCAGGCTCTGTGTTGCCGCCTCACTCCTGCCTTCTCTCCACACCCCCCTGCCAGGTGAAAGGAGAAAAACGCCACGTGCCCAGGATGCCGCTGCCAGCTTCTGCTCTTCTGACTTTTCTCCTCTTGAGCCAAGGAGTGGGAAACGGAGGGGAGGGTCCCAGGAAGTTGGGAGGAGTCTGTGCTGGGCTCATTCTAAAGTCAAAAAATCATGTCGTCTTACCTTGTTTTCTCTCCTCCCCTCGCCCCCGTCTTGAACCTCACAAAGAGATCCCTGTAGCGCCGCCGACGACTGCAGCCAGCAGCGTGGAGGAGCCTGAAGGTAAACGGCCCCCTTCGCTTCTCATTTCCCGCTTTTGCTGGGTGGTGGGGTGGTGGGGTGGGTTAATGGGGAAGGGGCATTGGAAAGCCCAGACTCCTCTAACCACTGTCCGGGCTCTGCTCCGTATGAGTGGCATCCTGGGTTGCATTGAAGAAGCTGGAGCTATAGGACACTATTTTGTGGCTTTCCCTCTGAGAATCAAATGGAGGAGATTTTAATGATGCCTCTCTCCCAAGCCTGGAACCCTAAAAACTGAGCTCCTTCTACTTGTCCACCAGCTGCCCGCCAGCCCAACACCTTCCAGGCTGAGGGGTTGTCACTCCTTCCTGGGGCTGCAGAGAAGGAAGGAGCCAGATGCTGGGGATACAGAAGGAGGCTTGGGCACAGGGTCGCACAAGCAGAATGCAGGGGGCCCAGGAGCTGGGCGTGGGGGAGAATCACATCTTCATTTTCATTCGCCTCTAACTAAAAATTTAGCATTTCCTCCATGGCAAAGAGAGGCCGCAGACCGCAGCATGCGGCCAAGCCTGCACCGTGGTCACTGGCGGAAGTCACAGCGGTTTACACATCACATTCTAGCTGGTGCAGATATCATAAATATCGTTCATGCTGGTTATTGCTTCTCAAAACGACAGAAGTTACTAGACCTGCTGCTAGATCCTGATTTATAATCATTAATAAAGAAGCACTCGCGTAACGTAACCATACCATCAATCTGGGTCTTTAAAGATATTTGGGCAGCAGCATTTCAGTATTATTAATTTCCTTTGTAGACCTGTATATTTTATTTTAGCATGGGGAAATGTTTGTCTGAGGAAGGGTCCACAGGCTTCACCAGTCCTTGGCACAAGAAATGTTGCATAGCTCTGGCTGTCGGCACTCAGAGTGTACCGAGCCCTGCCAGATGCCCTGCTGAGAGCATCTCAGGCCTGCACCCAGAGTCCTGGTCCTGGGATCACACAGGACTTTTGTGTACTGGTACTTGGGGTAGAAGAGGGCAGAAAGTGACAGTGGGGCACCCCAGCATGGACATTCATGCTGGTGCTGGGGACTCTTTGCCTCCCCCAGAAAGGACTGTAGCGAGGGATGGGGGAGCTTGCAAACCCATGTGGCCCCCTGAATATTTTAGGATACAGACTGGATTTTGGAGAGTATTGGCAGTGCGCTGGAAACTTGAGGGAAGACAGATTCGGCACTTGCACAGGCATGGTCCACAGCCAGCAAACAGGAAAGGACAGAAATGCGTTTCAGGGAGTGCCAGAGGCAGCTCTGGGAAAGCCAAAGACAGTTGAGTCTTGCGTTGTTTGCAGAGCCTTTAGGGACTTTTGGTTGAGCCCCATGCAGGGGAAATGGCGAAGAGAAGGGATTGAAGGAAGCAGCATGACAGGGAGACTGGATGACAGAGCTAAGGTGGGAGATGAGGAAGCTCTCTCTGTCACAGCACAATTCAAAGGAACATCCTAAATTACTTCAGCTCTAGGGGAGAGCAGTTTTGAAGGTAGAAGACACTTAAATGAAACTTCGATTCTTGCTCTCTTTGATGTGACATTTGTCCTTGCCTAACTGAGACTCACCTGGACAAGATTTTAAGGCTGTGCACACCGCGGGGGGCTGAGGCTTCCGAGCAGGGGCTGTGTGACAGCTCATGCAAGGGCAAGACAGACCTCAATGATCTATCTCTCCATCTCCGTCTTTGTCTCTCACTCCCCCCATTTCTCTAGTCCTTGTAGCTTGACTTTGAGTTTCTCACAAACCCACAAACCCTTGATTTTGAATTTTTCCCCTTCCAAGTCAGAAATGGGCAAATGGGGAAAAATGTGGAGGGGAGGGATCTCATGAGGTTTCTACATAGGCTACAAGAAGCTGGTATAAAACTTCCGAGGTTCTTGGCTCCGCCAGACAAAAGATTCCGGAGCAGCCGCTTATAAACACTGGCAGCCTCCTTTTTTGAAATGTCTTCTTTGAGTTGTTTAACTTTTCGGACTGCTTTTGATTTTGTTACTGTTTATTTCCTTTCCTCATTCTGAACCTTTAAAAGCATGGTTTAAACCGAAGCGAGCAGTAAATAAACACCCTTATAAAATATCTTCCTCAGAGAGAGGCTGAGTGAGCAGGTTGGAAGCCTGTAGCAATGTTTGTAGCTTTGACCAGACCTGCGCTGCCCTACTCTGGGGGTCCTCGGATGCCCAGGGTGTCTGATGCTCTCCCCAGAGAACCGGAGCCATCTCTGGGACACAAGTGCTGGACCGTGGGGCCTCCTACCACAGGGAGGCTGGGTATGCCTTGTCTCAGCGTCTGAGACATTGCAGGCAGGAGGCCAGGAGGGCCCCCTGGGAAGCGGGGCCCGGGAGCTCAGCGCTCTCAAACCTGTCCACTCTTGCCGTGTTTGAATAGGGGAGGCCTCTGTGCCAGGCTGCCTGAGAAAAGCTTGTTTACTTTTGCCTGCGTACCAGAGGAGAATTAATAAGCTGAGAATTTGTTCTGAAAGCTGATGGACATAACCTTCCCCTGAACTCATCCCCTTGAAGGGCCAGCTCACTCAGGGAATGTTCTTTACCTGCTCACAAAGCTAGCTGGTAAGCCGTCATGGGGCAGGGAGGTGAGGAACGTAGTGTCTGTGGGGGTCTGGGGCCGGGTAGGCCAGGAGGGAAACAGGGAGGAAAGGAGAGAGGGACCACCCACTCAAAAAGGGCATGGTACCCAAGGCTCCCCTGGCACTCACCTACTTGTTGGTTGTAGAGACCTCAGCACTCAAGGAAAAAAGACACCTGCCTTCTCTCCCTGTACCACCCCTTCCCCACCTATCAACTCAAGGGGAGTTCTTGATTTGCAAATTGTTTGTTTGGTTTTGTGGTGGCCATTTGGTTTGGTGGGAGGAGTCTGGTATGGAGCCAGGAGACCTGGGGTTTGCCCTGCACTGACTCTGAGGACTTGGACAATGCAATGGCGTCTCCTTTCTGCCTTCTGGAAGAATGAAGGGGTGGACCCAGTGCTCCACAGGCCCTTCCCTCCCTGGCTGGCTGTGGCAGGAGTGAGCTCCTCCTGCTGGGGTTTCCTCTTCAGAGGCACCTGCTTGTTCTCGGTCCGCCCCTGAGGATCCACTTCTCCCACATCCCAGGCAGAGGCCTGTGGGCGGAGGTGCTGGTAAGTATTTAGCAACTGCCTGGGGCAGGAGGTGGGGCCAATGTGTAGCATCTGCCACTTCCCTTGGTGTCAATACTCCCTCCCTGGCTGGTTTCTGGCTACCCAATGAGATGTCATTGAATGTGAAGTTGGGAGAGGTGCATGACTGGCCCTCAGAGCCCTTGGCAGCTGATTCCACCTCACCACTGCCCATGGGCCTTCCAGCAGAAACAGAGCAAAGAGGTCCAGAGGCAAGAAAGGCTGCCTTTGATGGCCTCCTTGGTTTGAGGGATCACAGCTGCCTTTGCGTGGAAGCTGGACCCAGGGCTCTGGGGTTACAGGAGCATGGAGCCAGCCAACTTCTGGGCTCCCTCCACCTCCCAACAGGGATCCCGGGTCCTCTCTCCTAACTCTGTCTTCACGAGGCACTCACCCCATCGGGGCCTTACCTGGTACCTTTGGCTAACTGCCCCAGCAGCCCCAGCCTGGGGTGGGAGTGGCTGCCAAGGGCACCCTTGCACATTACCTTGATGGTAGTCTGAAAGGAAAACTCCACAGAGCCCGGCAGCTGAACCTCTCCGAGAAGCTCCACACTCAGGTGCTACCAGGCCTGTGTGGTGGGGGTGGGGGTTGACCTTAGAGAAGTCACTTCCGGTGGCCTCTCGGCACCTCCACTTTTTCACGGAAGGAAGTTGGGTTTATGTAGACCTGCAGCCTGGATAAGCATGGATTATTCTCTTGTTTAGGCTTTTGTTTGCCAAGATAGGGAATAGGTTGGGTGAATACAGGAAAATGAGTTGATGGGACTTGAATGCGGCATTAGCGAGGGGTTGTGGGGAGGGAGAAGAGGGAGAAAAGGGCACTAAAATGGGCACCTGAGGGCTACTTGATCCCTCTCTCGGATTCTTCATTTGTGAAATGGGGTAATCGCAACCCTGCCACTAGGGCTGTTGTGAGGATTAAATGGGATGATCTCAGTAAAGCCTGTGACTCAGTGGAGGGACTGTTCAAAGTTCTTGATTAAAAAAACAATACATTGACATGAAAAATACAAATGCCATGGTATAATGAGAGGTTGAGCCAGCTTCTCCATCCAGAAAGGCGGGATTGGGGTGGGAGTTGCTGGCGTGAGGACAGGCGTGGAGAGTCAGCTTGATTGGGCTTTTGAAGACCTTGGGAAGTCACAAGTTGGACTGCCCGAGGCAGGGAGCAACTGAGGCAACTGCATGGTGGGCTTGTCACAGCCTTCCAGCAGCTCATGGTAGAGCCTGAACCAAGCAGAGAGGTAAGAACTAGAAACCAGTTAAAGGTCAAGAGCTTCACTTCATGATAGCCAAAAGGTGGAAACAGCTCACCTGTCTATCATCGGATGAACAGATACACAGAATGTGGCATATCTATACAGGGACTATTATTTAGCCATAAGAAGAAATGAATGGCCAGGTGCGGTGGCTCACGCCCATAATCCAACCACCTCGGGAGGCTGAGGTGGATGGATTGCTTGAGCCCAGGAGTTTGAGTTTGAGACCAGCCTGTGCAAAATAGTGAAACCTCATCTCTCCAAAAAAAAAAAAAAAAAAAAAAAAACATTAGCCAGGCATGGTGATGCACACCTGTAGTCCCAGCTACTCAGGAGGCTGAGGTGGGAGGGTAACCTGAGCCCAGGAGGTTGAGGCTGCAGTGAGCCGTGATTGCACCACTGTACTCAAGCCTGGGTGACAGATTAAGACCACATCTCAAAAAAAAAAAGAAATGAAGTTCTGACATGTGCTACAACACAGAAGAACCTTGAAAACATCATGCTGATTGAAAGAAGCCAGACCCAAAGGCTGCATATCATATGATTCCATTTATCTGAAATGTCCGGCAAAAGCAAATCCAGAGACAGAAAGCAGATTAGAGGTTGCTAGGGGCCGGGCAGCGGCTGTTTAATAGGTACAGGTTTTCCTTTTTGGGTGATGAAAACGTCCTGGAACTTGATAGTGGTGATGAGTTGTACAATGTTGTGAACAGACTTAATGCCATTGAATTGTACACTTAAAAATGCTAAATCTGGCTGGGTGCAGTGGCTCACGCCTGTAATCCCGGCACTATGGGAGGCCAAGGTGGACAGATCACCTGAGGTCAGGAATTCGAGACCAGCCTTACCAACATGGTGAAACCCCATCTCTACTAAAAGTACAAAATTAGCTGGATGTGGTGGTGCATGCCTATAATCCCAGCTACTTGGGAGGCTGAGGCAGGAGAATTGCTTGAACCTGGGAGGTGGAGGTTGCAGTGAGCTGAGATCACACCATTGGACTCCAGCCTGGGCAATAAGAGTAAAACTCCATCTCAAAAAAAAAAAAAAAGAGTGCTAAATCTTATATATATTTTGCCACAATTAAAAAATAAAAACAAAAAAGTCAAGTGCTTTGGGTCAGAGTCCAAGGGTGAAGTGAGTCTGATTTGTCTGGGGCTGGGGTGAGTGTCCTGGAGACAAGGCACTGGAGCATAGGCAGCAATGGGGGACATGCTTGTCTTCCTGTCGCCTCACTGGGAACCTTTGGAGGGGATGGCGGAAGTCGTCTGTCGTCTTCCAGCCCTTTAGCTGTGGGTGTATGGCTTCGAGTTCTGGCTGCACAGCCTGACCCTCTCTCCCCTTTTGGAGTCATCTTAGAAGGATCTGGTTCCTTGAGTCCCAGGTAGGGAGGCTTCAGTGCTCTTGGTATAGGAGAAAGGGAGCTGTGGGGTCCACAGAGGAGACCACTGACAGGAGGGGGGATCACTGGAGACCGTGCAGACAGCCCAGGCCACTGGTAAACAGGCCCAGTAATTGACCAAGGCACTGGTTTCAAAGGGTGGTATGAAGCGGGATGTTAGGCTGTCCCAGGTTAGCCATTAGATAAATGACCAGTGAAGTCATTAACACACCATCAGATTACTGTTATCCCGAGAGAAGATTAGACCAGACCCAGAATAAAAGATAAATGGATTCTGGCTCAGGGAAGGAGGAGACAACATTTATATACATAAGATGCTTGCTCTGTGCTAGGCACTGTTTCAAATGCTCTACATTATTAACCATTTAATCATCTCTTCCACCCATGGAGCTAGGTACTGTCATCTCCCCCCGACCCCTGTTTTACAGAGGAGTAAACTGAGGCACAGAGAGATGGGTGAGCCCTAGCAAGCAGCATCACTGGGATCCCGGCCGTGGTTGCCTGGGCGCAGAGTCTGTGAGTGCTGTTGGCCACCATGCCATTCCCACAGAAGTTATGTTTTTGTTTGTTTGTTTGAGACGAAGTTTTGCTCTTTCGCCCAGGCTGTAGTGCAGTGGCACAATCTCAGCTCACTGCAACCTCCACCTTCCTGTTTCAAGCAATTCTCCTGCCTCAGCTTCCTGAGTAGCTGGGATTATAGGCACGTGCCACTACGCCTGGCTAATTTTTGTATTTTTAGTAGAGACGGGGTTTCACCATGTTGGCCAGGCTGGTCTCGAACTCCTGACCTCATGATCTGCCCACCTCAGCCTCTCAAAGTGCTGGGATTACAGGGGTGAGCCACCATGCCCAGCCAAAGTTATGTTGTTTGGTCAATTTTAGATAATTAAAAAAAAAAATCCTATGTAGTAACATCCTACTAGGAAAGAAGATAAACTCAAGTATCCACTGAGGGGTGACCTGAAACCAAAGAGACATGGAGGGGCAGCCAGTCAAAAGCCACTGCCTTTTACAGGTGCCAGTTAAAGGGGTTCTGGTGAGTGTGGTTGTTTGGCTCATGGAGCTGGCATGACCAGGGCCACAGGTGGTGAGCACTAGAGAACAGTTAGCAGAGCTCAGACCCTTGGGTCACAAGGTAGCCAGGGTGAGACAGGGCAGACAAATCAGCTAATCCCAGAATGGGTGAGCATAAAGAAACCCAAAACCCCCACTGGCAAAGAATCAGCCGAAGATTGTTAGAACTAATAAGAGAATTCTATAAGGAGCCGTTAAACAATTAACGTACAAAGGTCAGCATGGCCTGTAGTAAGTACTCAGTGAATGCATATCAGTTTTATGATAATGGAAACAAAATCTCAACTAGAATACCAGTAAAAATATGAAACACAGAAATAAATGTAGCAATAAAGTACAGCACATATGTAAAGAAAAGAACAAGACTTTTCCAAGGAACATGAAGAACAGAAGAAAAGGAGGGTCTTGCCACGTTCTGAGAAGACAAGACCCAAAATTGTAAAGCTATCAGTTCGCCCAGAAATAATCTGTATATTAGCATAATTCTAGTCAAAATCCCAATTACATGAAACACGATTCCTAAATTCAGCCAGAAAAATAAATGGGTGAGGATTGCCAATAATTTTTTTAAAAGAAGATTAATGGAGGGTGATTTGCCCTACCAGATATTTAAAGATATTGTAAACAGGATTATTTAAATGAGTGTGGTACTGGTGTAGGAATAGAGAGATCACTAATGCTGAGTAGAAAGTCTAGAAACAGGCCAGGTGCAGTGGCTCACGCCTATAATCCCAGCACTTTGGGAGGCCGAGGTAGGCAGATCACTTGAGGCCAGGACTTCGAGACCAGCCTGGCCAAAATGGTGAAACCCCATCTCTACTAAAAATACAAAAATGAGCTGGACATGGTAGTGAGCGCCTGTAGTCCCAGCTACTTGGGAGGCTGAGGCACGAGAATCACTTGAACCTTGGAAGCGGAGGTTGCAGTGAGCCGAGATCGTGCCACTGCACTCCAGCCTGGGCAACAGAGCAGGACTGTGTCTGGAAAAAAAAAAAATCTAGAAACATACTCAAATGTAAACATAAGAACTTAGCATATGGTAAAGTTGTGACTGTGAGTCAGTGCAGAAAAGAATGAATCAATCAGTAAATGGTCCTGGGAAAACCGGCTATTTATTTTAAAATAATAACAAAATATGCTGTATATCACCAATGGATTAAAGATTTATATACCTTCAGCATATGTCCTTAAATGTTCTAGAATAAAATATATATGAATATCAATGTAATATTGATGTGAGGAAGGCCTTTTAGACATGACACAAATGTCAAAAAGCATAAAAGGAAAGATTTTGAATAAATAATAAGCGGAGCCGGGCGTGGTGGCTCACGCCTTTAATCCCAGCACTTTGGGAGGCCGAGGCAGGCGGATCATCTGAGGTCAGGAGTTCAAGACCAGCCTGACCAACATAGTGAAACCCCGTCACTACTAAAAATACAAAATTAGCTGGGCATGGTGGTGCATGCCTGTAATCCCAGTTACTCTGGAGGCTGAGGCAGGAGAATCGCTTGAACCTGGGAGGCGGAGGTTGCGGTGAGCCGAGATGGTGCCATTGCACTGCAGCCTGGGCAACAAGAGCAAAACTCCATCTCAAAAAATAAGTGGAAAACTTCTGTATCTCAGAAATCTCTATAAGCAAAATAAAAGGCAAACTAAAAGCTGAGAAAAATATATGTGACATGGTTGACCAAAAAGATTAATGTCCTCAATAATAAAGAACTTTTACAGTTCAATAAGAGAGATATCCTAATATGAAATCAGGCTAAAAAAGTGAACTAGAAATTTAGAGAATTTGTACAAATGGCAATATGCATAGGAAGCATTAAACTTACTAGTAATAAAAAATTAACAAGAATACTCTTTTAAAAGCTTATTAGGGATGGAGCATGTGGCTCATGCCTGTGATCCCAGCACTTTGGGAGGCCAACGGGGGAGGATCTCTTGAGTCCAGAAGTTCAAGACCAGTCTGGGCAACATAATGAGACCTTATCGCTACTAAAAAAAAAAAAAAAAAAAAAAAAAATCCAGGGGTGTTGGCACATGCCTGTAGTCCCAGCTATCACGCCACTGCACGGCAGCGTGGGTGACAGAGCGAGACCCTGTCTCAAAAAAAAAAAAAAGTATTAGAGATTAGAGTGACACTGTTTGGAAAATAAAAAGTAATTATTCTCTGTGTTGAAAAGGGTTGGGGAAGCAGGTACCCACCTACTCTGGTGGTGGGAGGGTAACCTGGTGCCACTTTTATGAAGGGTAATTTGGCATTGTGTATCAAAAGGTATCCATGACCCCATCAGTTCAATTCTAGGAATTTAGCCAAAGGAAATAGCAATGTGTGCCAAAATTTAGCTACAGAGATGAATATTGCAGCATTGCTTATAATAACAAAAGAGAGACACAACCTACGTGTCTTTGAGTACAGCTTGAGTTACTCAGCAATGGGATAGCCATATAATGATGTGGGGAGAATATCTAAATGGAAAGATAAAATATAGTGCCAGGTGACAAAAACAAGTGACACAACACATTACACCTGAAGAATTAGCCATATCGGTGGAAAGACTGCTGTACAGGAGCATTTCGCTTAGTTTCTTTCTGTTTGTAGATTTCAGTGGTTCTCAATCAGGGGCTATTGTATGTCTGGAGATATTTTGGGTTGGGGAGGGTGTCGCTGGCATCTAGTGGGTAGAGGCCAGGGATGCAGCCAAGTATCTTGTGTTACGCAGGACAGCTCACGCAACAGAGAAGTACCTGGCCCCAAATGGTGATGGTGCCAAGGGTGAGAACTCCCGTTATACAGAATAAAACCCACACATTCTCTCCAAAAGCATTAAGGAGAGCTGGGGCAGCACCGGGAGACAAACCCGGCTCTTTTATTAGTTATGCACCATGCTGAACTGAATGCAGCTGACGGTTTAGAAAGCTGTTTCCTCGGCCGGGCGCGGTGGCTCACGCCTGTAATCCCAGCGCTTTGGGAGGCCGAGGCAGGCAGATCACCTGAGGTCAGGAGTTCAAGACCAGCCTGGCCAACATGGTGAAACCCCGTCTCTACTAAAAATAAAAAATTAGCTGGGCATGGTGGCACGCGCCTGTAGTCCCAGCTACGCAGGAGGCTGAGGCAGGAGAATCACTTGAACCCTGGAGGCGGAGGTTGCAGTGAGCCAGGATCATGCCACTGCACTCCAGCCTGGGCGACAGAGTGAGACTCTGTCTCAAAAAAAAAAAAAAAAGAAAAAGAAAAAAAAGCCGTTTCCTCAAGTCAGCCACATTTCCCATGTGACCATGTTAAAAAAGGACTGAGCTTTTATGTGCCTGGTCATTTTTCCATGGTAAAACTTAGCACAACCTAAAGTGAAATGTACCCCAAATTCCAATTTGTACTATACATTAGTATATTCTGAATTAATGTGATTCAACTCATTATAAACTTTTTATTTTGAAAAATGTTGAGAAGTAGGGAGAAAAGCATGGGGGACAGTTACATTCTCATCACCCAGACTTAGGAATTCACATTTTGCGGTATTTGTTTCAACTACCTTTTCTGTTAAAATATTTGTAAAGAAGTTTAGACGTTATGACATTTCAGCCCTAAATATTTTGGAATACACCTCCAAAAACTGAGAACATCTCAATGTCATTATTATACCTCACAAAATTAACAATGCATTTCTTAATATCATTTGATACATAGTCCATATTCAGCACTTCTTGGTTCTCCCCCAAATGTCTCCTCACAGCTGTTTTGCTCGCTGGTTTAATTATTAAAACATTATGCGGCTGGGCACGGTGGCTCACGCCTGTAATCCCAGCACTTTGGGAGGCTGAGGCAGGTGGATCACCTGAGGTCGGGAGTTTGAGACCAGCCTGACCAACATGGAGAAACCCCGTCTCTAGTAAAAATACAAAATTAGCTGGGCATGGTGGCGCATGCCTGTAACCCCAGCTACTTGGGAGGCTGAGGCAGGAGAATCACTTGAACCTGGAGGTAGAGGTTGCAGTGATCCAAGATGGTGCCATTGTACTCCAGCCTGGGCGACAAGAGTGAAACTCCGACTAAAAAAAAAAAAAAAAAAAAAAAACATTATGCAGGTTGGGCGCAGAGGCTCACGCCTGTAATCCCAGCACTTTGGGAGGCCAAGGTGGGCAGATCACTGGAGGTCAGGAGTTTGAGACCAGCCTGGCCAACATAGTGAAACCCCATCTCTACTAAAAATACAAAAATCAGCTGGACATGGTGGCAGGCACCTGTAATCCTAGCTACTTGGGAGGCTGAGGCAGGAGAATCGCTTGAACCCAGGAGGTGGAGGTTGCAGTGAGCCAAGATTGTGCCACTGCACTCCAGCCTGGGCAATAGAGCCAGACTCTGTCTCAAAAAAAAAAATTATGCAATGTTGTGATATATGAAGGACTCTATTTAGAAATGCATCTGGGTGCCATTCCTGGGCTGCTTTCGAGGATGCAAAGTGGCAATGTAAGATGGAAAGTGTTCCCTGTGTGGTACATGCTGTCACTGTTAACTTCACCTACCGTTAAAGAAGAGGCACTGCCACGTCCAGTCCTGTGGCTTCGTGGAGTGAGTGGTGGGGTCAGAGGGTGTGGAAACGGAAAGACATTCAGCAGTTATTTCAGGTGTTTAAACCGTGGGATTCTCAGTCTCAGCACTGTCGACCTGGGGGCTGGAGATCTCTTTGAGGTGGCAGCTGCCCTGTGCACTGTAGGATGTGAAGCAGCATCCCTGGCCTCTTCCTACTGGATGCCAGCACCTACCCTCTGGCCAGTTGTGATAATTAAGTGTCCCTTGGGGGACAGAGGAGCCTCTGGCTAAGAACCACTGGATCAGACCCAGATTTTCTGACATCAGCCCAGGTTGCTAGAACTCTGGTCCAGGAAAGAAAGCCAGAGCCCAAGCCAAGGGGCCGTGGGACTCTTCTAGTGGGGGGACCTGCTCATTGCCCCTCCGCCTTGAGATCAGACATCCCGTGTGTATTAGGTCAAACCGTGCGGAATTGCTGCTGTATGTGACCATTTCAGACCCACAAAAATGGCAATTTCCTAGAGTTCAGCTTAACATTTACTTCCCCTTGGCCAGGAGAACCTGCTTCTGAGCAGCCTGCACAAGTCAGTTTCCCCTCTCTTCTTTCTCACTCTCTGCTGTCTGTCTCCCTCTCTCTCTCCTACACCCCCTACCCCCACCTTCCTCATTCCCTCATTTTCCCTGGCCTCTTCCCCACCCCCTCGTCCTTTTCCCCTCTTTCTCCTTTTCGGGACCTGCACAAAGGGCTGGGGCAGAGGTCAGGCTGGGGGTGAACAGGGCCAGGCGAGCTCTACCACCCCTCCACCCCTCCACCCTGGGCCTCCATCACCCCAAGGAGCACAGAGAAGCCATTTGCATGGTGGGTTTCAGGAGCCCCATTGTTCCCCTGTCTCTGGGCCTTTGCAGGTGGAGCTGCCACCAGCCTCGAGGAGGATAAAGGGATGAGCTGGGAGGCCAGAGGAGCAAGTGGGGGCGGAATATTTAGCCCTTCTTGGGAGCTCTTCCCACTGGGGGATCAAGGAGCATGGCTGATGGGAACGGGACAAGTGACAGGTGTCAGGGAGAGAGAGGATGGGAGTCCTTGGA
Organism: Homo sapiens; assembly: GCF_000001405.40. Classification (NCBI taxonomy): domain Eukaryota; kingdom Metazoa; phylum Chordata; class Mammalia; order Primates; family Hominidae; genus Homo; species Homo sapiens. The sequence goes on from NC_000017.11 coordinate 9,195,486, forward strand.
CCCACCTCCATGTCACACAGCTGTCACAGCGACCTTGCTGGCAGAGGCTGGCAGGGGTGGGGCAGTGCAGGCTGTGGAGCTAGGCTGAGGCAGGGGTGGATGCAGAGAACCCCCAGGTGGCCCAGGCTCAGAGCTCGGCCTGAAACCCCTTGCAGATTCCTGTACAGGTCCTGGGCTGTGGTGGGAGGGGACTTGTAGCAACTGGGTCACACCTGGCCTGAGGCCCTCAGCGTACAGACTCTCCTGCCCCTATTGCAGCGGGCTCGCCTGGCAGAATCTTCACAGCCACTGAACTGGGGTGAGGAAAGCCCCCCTCCAGCCCCAGAGCAGGACCCACAGTGGTCCCTCTAATTACTTAAATACCCTGCCAGATCTAAAACTGCTCCAGACTTAAAGAAATAATAACAACCATCACTGCAATCCTTTACTGGAGATCATGGGTTTTGAGTATTTCACCCCACTCTAGCTAAAGCATTCTGCAAGCCATTTGTTAGTCCTGGAGCCAGTCTTCTCGGTGAAATGAAGGAGCTGGGCTAAAGGATACATTTGGCCCCTTCTCAGCTCAAAATCGCTGGGGCCTGGGAAGGCCTGCTTTGGAGGCCACTTTGGCCACCAGACCCCATCTGCTGTCCTCCCCTGTGCTGCCAGCAGCTGGGCAGGGCCTGGGGTGCAGAGCCAGCCTCGTGTTCTGGGGCACAGCACCCGGGCAATGGGGGGCTGCCTGGGAGGTTCTTTCAGGGCTGTGTTGAAGAAATTGTGGGGAATTTGCACCAAGGAGGGTGCTCAACCCTAGGGTAGGAAAGAAAAGAGGAGAATGGATTGGTGGGGACATTGTTTAGGCAGTCGCCAGGCAGCCTTGCTCTTGTGGACATAGACCCTCAGAGTTGGAAGGAGCAGCACAGTGGTGGTGTGGCAGGGAGGCTACCAGCTGCCGCCTCCTGTGGCTGTCGTGATTATGCTCAGACTGTCCCCAGCCCCACCTCCTGCTGAGCAGGATTTTCCTCTCGGCAGCTCTCTCCCTCTGCTCCTAAAGCTGTTTGTGCGGCCACACAATGCAAGTCTCCTGCCTCTGCCCTGGGGCATGGTTCATGGACCTTGTCTTTGCCATCCAGGGCAGGGCTTCAGGCTTCAGTAAGGGCAGTAGATTGGTGTCTAGGAGGGAGGCGGCCAGTGGGGCATTGCCCCTCCCCATTCCCCCCTCCAGAGAGGTCAGTGCCTTCCTAGAGAAGAGTGTGACAAGTGTCATTTGCACAGTTTTGTGGTCTCTGCTTGAGTACAGTGTATTGTGGGATTAAGGAAAGGAGAAAGCCTTCTATTTGTAGAGATCAGGAATGAAGCAGAGATCTGAAATTATTTGCACAGAGAGGCATGTGAAACTTGGTGGTGTTGGAGCCGGCTCACACCTGTTCACACCTGCTCCCACTGGCTCACGAGGGCCGACTGTGCATCTCTTCCCAATTCTGCATTCAGGGTGTCCTGCTGGGAGTTTGAAATTGGCCATGGTGGGAATATTTACACTTCGGAAGTTGACAAATGGTAAAATCAAAGCATTTTTTTTTTTTAGTTCCCCAGAGAGCCAGTTGTCAGACATTCCTCAGCACAGCATTGTCCAAAAGGCATCCTGAGAGTGAAATTCAGGCTCTCAATACCAGAAGGAACCTAGAGATAGGTCATCCGATCGGGCCTGCACATCTGACAGATGGGGAGACTGAGGCCCAGAGGAGGACAGTGGCTTGTCTTAGGTCATGCAGTGAGTCAATGGCAGAACCGGTATTTCCACTTTACCACGGTCCTTCAAGTAGACCATCCTTTCAAGCAGGAAGCTATGGAGTGACACAGAGGCTTAGCAAAGCTTCCTCCTCCTGAAGAGGGATTAGAAATTCATGACGTGGGCCAGGCGTGGTGGCTCACACCTGTAATCCCAGCACTTTGGGAGGCCAAGGTGGGCAGATCATCTGAGGTCAGGAGTTCGAGACCAGCCTGGCCAACATGGCGAAACCCTGTCTCTACTAAAAATATAAAAAATTAGCCAGGCGTGGTGGAGGGCACCTGTAGTCCCAGCTACTTGGGAGGCTGAGGCACGAGAAACACTTGAACAGAGGAGGTGGAGGTTGCAGTGAGCTGAGATCACAGCACTGCACTCCGGCCTGGGTGACAGAGCAAGACTCTGTCCAAAAAAAAAAAAAAAGAAGGAAGAAAAAGAAAAGAAATTCATGGAAGGGGAAATGGGTTTTAGAGAAGACTGCTTCAAGATTTTCTTCAGGCTGAAGCTGGGCTAGGCATCTACCAGCCTCCCTCTTCCCCTGCCCTAGTCTCCTGGACCAGCCTTCCTTCTGTCCTACGAGGCCACCTCCTTCAGCCCAAGGATTAGGAAGTTGCACTTCAGCATCTAAAAATCTTCCCATGGTCCAAGATACCTTCACAGTAGCTTCTATCTTCACCAGAGAAGCCTCCAAGAAGGTGGTGACCTTTTGGGATTGTCCTGGACTTACCCTTCCCTCTTCTTCTTTGAGGCTAGTTGATGGCTGTGGGTGGGATGCCAGCCATCCACCCAGGTTATCGGGGCCCTGCTGTCTTTGGCTTTAATTCTCCCCAGAACCTCAGGGGGCCCGAGACAGGGATTCTTGTGTGGGTGATTTATTGAGGGGGTGCTTTCAGGAGAAACCAGTAAGGGCATGAGGGAAGCACGAGAGTGCAGGGGAAGAAACTGGGAAAACACAAGGCTGCAGTGGAAGTCTAGCCTCAGCCTGATCACGCGGGAGCTTGGGAATCATATCCAAGAAGTTGTCATATTTACAGGCAAAAGGGCTGGGCAGTGATACCTGCCCAAGTCAGTCAGCCATTGGCTATGTTACATGGGCAAGGGCACCTATAACCTCCCGGATATCTCCAGGGAAAGCAGTGTCCATCCGTCAAGGGCAAACATTCAGAGAAGGGTGCAAGTGTGAGCTGCGTGCAGCTGGGTGCACAGGTCCAGTCAAGGGGCTCTGGGCGGGGCTCCAGCCACCTCTGCTATACTTGGTAGGTGATTTGGTGGGAAGGGAAGTTTTACTGGAATCTGGGGACCATCTGTGGGTTTCTGTTTTGTCCACTCTCCAAGAGCCCTACACTGTAGAAAAACCTGGTGGTTATTCTCTGAGGTCCCATGTCCTCCCTCCTGTGTCCAGCTGGTCTCAGTAATGACAGTCTTACTGATATCTCTCACATCTCTTCTCTAGAAGACCAGAGACCAAGGGGAACTGGAGCGAGAGAATCACAGCCCAGGAGTTCAGGCTCAGCTGTGGATCCTACAGATCCCTAAGTACTGTATCTGACCTTTTGCTGGGAAGATCACATGTAGACCTCCCAGAGAGACTTCCAAAACAGCTCTGACAGACAAAGGACTAACCGCTTTCACCTACGAGGGAGGCCATATGTGTGGGAGGCACCATTGAGCTCCATTCCTGGTACCCACTACCAGCTCCTGTTAGAAGCTGGGGAACAGTGACTTGGGCCCCTTGGGACAAGATAACAGGCATACCACCACGGCTGCACCCACTATTGTCCTAATTCAAACTCTTTCTCTACTTCTCACAACCCTGTATTGGTCAGGGAAGATTATGTGCTGTAACAAACAGCTCAGATAGTATAGTCCAGCTATTTCTTTTTCTTTCTTTCTTTTTGTTTGTTTGTTTGAGACAGTGTTTCGCTCTTGTTGCCCAGGCTGGAGTGCAGTGGCACAATCTCGGCTCATTGCAACCTCCGCTTCCTGGGTTCAAGCAATTCTCCTGCCTCAGCCTCCCAAGTAGCTGGGATTACAGGCACCCACCACCACGCCCAGCTAATTTTGTATTTTTAGTAGAGATGGAGTTTCAACATGTTGGCCAGGCTGGTCTTGAAGTCCTGACCTCAAATGATCCACCCACCTCAGCCTCCCAAAGTGCTGGGATTACAGGCATGAGCCATTGCACCCGGCCCTGCTATTTCTTACTTTATACCACAGTCCATCACAGCCCTGGATGGGTGGCTCCCTTCCAAGCAGTGAGTCAGGGGCCCAGGCCCCTTTCATCACATGGCTCTGCCATCTTCTAGGGCCTGTCATTGTGGGTTTCTCTGCATCCAGCCACAGTCAGGGAAAGAGAACATTGGGAGCTCTTGGGAAACCTATGGACTGGGCCTGAAAGTGTTGAGGATCACTTGTACATGTGTCCCATTGGCCAAGACTCAGTCACATGACCACCCCAACTACAAGGGGGTCGCTGGGTAATGTAGTCTATCTGCCTGGTTGGGCGGGGAATGGAGTAGTGTTTGGTAACAACATATAGTCTTCACTGTAGATCTTCTTTGATCACTCTGCTGACTTCAGGGACATCTGCGGCCACCTGTCATCATGATGTTGCCATTTTGGCATCAGGAAGTGGTGGTGAGCTTTGAGGAGCTTTGTGTGTGTTTGTAGGAAGTAGTTTAGCCCAGTCTTAGCCCCAGGGTGTGCATTCTGCCCAACAGCTGCCTAGATTTGGGTTGTAGGCAAGCTAAGCAAAGGCAACATTGGGTTCCAAGGCATGACCTCATTGGCATTGGCTTAACCAGCCAAGCTAACCGGCTAGCCAACCAGCCGGGTGGACGTTACAGGACTACAAGCATCCTTCTTTCATGACCTTCCCAGGGAGCCCTGCTCAGCTCAGCTGAATCACCCTTCAGTGCTGACAGCAGTTCTAGTCTGTGTCCACTGTTGGCTCTCGCTGGAGAAGCCTATAGAGAGCCAACTGGTTCCCTATTGGGACAGCTTTGTTTTCCCTGCTGAACACAAAATCCCCTGTTCACTGGGAGAGCTGACAAGGAGACCCCATGGGGCTGGCCCGGTGGGAGCAGATACCAATGAATGCAGCGCCCGAATGGCTTCAGCTTATTAAAGGCGAATACACAGGATAACTCTGCCCGCCGAGTGGGAGATAGAATGGAGGGCACAGAGCTGTTACAGCGGATTAGCAGCCGCAGACGGATGGAGGCAGGTGCAGCCTTTTCTGCAATTTGGAAGGGTTTATGAAATACTGATCCTGTGCTCTATAAATCCTTCCCTTGACCTCATCTGGGCTACAGGCTGAAAGTGGGGGATTTCTTGTTCAGCCAGGCTTGATAGTAGCTTTTAGTATTTTCCCTGCTCCCTGCCAACTCCTAGAATTCCCTGGGAATTTTGATAAGAGGATTTATGCATGTGTCCATTTATTCATTTTCTCTTCATTCATTCATCACTGACACATTTACCAAGAGCCTGGGCTAGGTGCTGGGGTTACAGAGCTGAGTAGAACATGGAGTTTTATCCTCAAGGGACTGGTGTACTGTGTGAGAAAGACACAGAAATAGAATATTCTAATTCAGATTGTTAATTGTTAACTAAATCCACACGTCAGCAGATACCAACATAACCTTTGGTGGGCCTGAGCCAGTGGCAGGCGTCACTAAGAGACTGCTAAGTCTTCTGCAGCCCAAGTGAATGAAGCCTCAAGTCCAACAAGGTGTCTTGTTGCCTCTCTGGATGGGCTGCTGTTTTTTTTAATGGCACAGATGGCAGATAATAGAGGACGATACTTAGAACTAGTGGCATAGCTGGAAACTTGAGTTCCTCTAGCAAAAACTCTAGAAAGTTCATCTTATGAGGCAGAATTTGCATCTTGAAGAAGGCGTAGGAGGCTGCTGGCAGGTGTTTCTCTGGCTCGAATGCAGATTTGGTCTCTATGTCTTTTCCTCCTAGAGATGGGAACTCCCTGGGTCAGACACCCCTCATCCAGGGAGGTAGCTCATTTTAGCAGGCAGAAATCTCTGTGCTCTCCTCCTGGGCTTACAGAGCTCATCTCTGCTGTAAGAGTTCTGAACTTACTGTGTGGCTCAAGGTTTTGGTGAGCATATTACCATGAGGAAGAGCATGGAGTGGGTGATTTGGACCTCAGGGCTACCATAAGGCCTGATTTCCAAGGGAAGAGGAACATGAGACCAGAGGGCTCTGAATTAACCCTGTTAACTTGTCCCAAGGGGACTCAGGCGACTGTTCCCCAGCTCTAGCAGGAGCTGGTGCATGTTGGCTTCCAGGAATAGAGCTCAATGGTGCCTCTCACACATATGGCCTCCCTTGTAGGAGAAAGCTGGTTAGTCCTTTGTCCACCAGAATTGTTTTGGAAGTCTCTTGGGAGGCCTATAGGTAAACTTCCTAGCAACGGATCAGATGCACTACTTGGGGATCTGTGGGATCCACAGCCATGCCTGAGCTCCTGGGCTGTGATTCTCTCACGCCAGTTCCCATTGGTCTGTGGATGACAGGGAGTCAGGGAAACAGACTCAGAGGATGCCCTCTAAAACTGGGAAGCAAATATGGAGCAGCAGTTAGAAATCCCGTGTCTGGGGAGTTCTTGGAGGGAGAAGAGATGGTTAAGAAATAAAAGACCGGGCCGGGCGTGGTGGCTCACGCTTGTAATCCTAGCACTTTGGGAGGCCAAGGCGGGCGAATCACAAGGCCAGAAGTTCAAGAGCAGCCTGGTCAATATGGTGAAACCCCGTCTCTACTAAAAATACACACACACACACACACACACACACAAAAAAAAAAAAAAAAAAAAAAAAAAAAAAAAAAACTTAGCCAGGTATGGTGGTACGCACCTGTAGTCCCAGCTACTCAGGAGGCTGAGGCGGGAGAATCGCTTGAACCCGGGAAGCAGAGGTTGCAGTGATCTGAGATCGCACCATTGAACTCCAGCCTGGATGACAGAGTGAGACTCCATCTCAAAAAAAAAGATATAAAAGATGAACTTGGCAACTTGTTGAAGCCTGAGACATGTCCTGCTGAGATGGGCAGAGCAGGGATGAAGTCCAGGCTATCCACTGGCCTCTTGATGCCCTTCAGCCTCTAGGTTCCACACCCTACAGTGGGCTCTTTGTGAGGGCAGCTGCGTCTCTGGCTGTGTTTCTGCTAGCACCTTCCACACAGGGTCATTTGAGTCTGTGGGTACCTGGAGTGTATTGAGAATTCATTACTTTCCTAAAGCAAACCCGATACCTTTATTCTCCATGTGAGAAGGTAGCAGAATTTGGTCTTGCCGGTGGGGGGACTTCAGTATCTACCATGGTGTGACATTGTTGTGGGTTGAGTGGTTCCCCATAAATAGGGTTCCCAGAAACCTGAGACACATTATTCATTGAAATGCCACAAAACTGTAAAAAAAAATTTGGAGTGGAAATCTCTTCCAAATGTATCACCAACTTTTTTGCCTTATTAAGCAATGCACAACAAACATAATTTTACTTTTCAGGATGATTCAGCCACGGCACAAGGAATCGTGCTGTCTGAACAGTCATAGTTACAAATCTTATTCAACTGTTGGGACTGTTTGCCTCTGTTCAAAATGATATTGCGATATTCTGCGTCTGTGTTTCATGGTTTCATAATTTTCTTTTTTTCTTATTTTTTTATTTTTTATTTTTTTGAGATGGAGTCTCTCTCTGTCGGCCAGGCTAGAGTGCAGTGGCGCGATCTCCGCTCACTGCAAGCTCCGCCTTCCGGGTTCACACCATTCTCCTGCCTCAGCCTCCCGAGTAGCTGGGACTACAGGCGCTGGCCACCAAGCCTGGCTAATTTTTTTTATTTTTACTAGAGATGGGGTTTCACCATGTTAGCCAGGATGATCTCGATCTCCTGACCTCGTGATCCGCCTGCCTTGGCCTCCCAAAGTGCTGGGATTACAGGTGTGAGCCACCATGCCCGGCTGGTTTCATAATTTTCTGCCTCTTCTTTGCCCTCTGTTTGCCAGCTGTTCCCTCCTCCTGCCAATGTGTTGATTCCTTTGTGATAGTAGTTTGACTGTTTGAACCTCTTACTGCCTAGTTCTCACCTGTATTCCAGAGAATGAAGATAAACAGATAAGTGGCTCCAGTTTACAACACTTGGAGGTTTCTATCATACCTTCCAAAGAATCTGAAGCACTTTCAGGCTCAACATAGATGTCTGTAAAGTAGGGAGGAAATGGCTGGTCTCTTCAATTCTCATATCAAGAACTGAGGACTGGTTGGGCGCGGTGGCTAACCCCTGTAATCCCAGCACTTTGGGAGGCTGGGGCGGGCAGATCACTTGAGGTCAGGAGCTTGAGAGCAGCCTGGCCAACATGGTGAAACCCTGTTTCTACTAAAAAATACAAAAAAAATTAGCCAGGCGTGGTGGTGGGCGCCTGTAATCCCAGCTACTTGGGAGGATGAGGCAGGAGAATCACTTGAACCCGGGAGGTGGAGGTTGCAGTGAGCTGAGATCATGCCACCGCACTCCAGCCTGGGCATCAGAGTGAGACTCTGTCTCATAAAAAAAGGAAAAGAAAAAAGGAAGAAAAGAAAAAGAACTGAGGACCAGAGAGTCTAGGAAGAGGAAGCAGCATAATGGGGTTTCTAAAAACCATGCCCTCTAAGTTTGAAGGAACCAGGAAGCCTTGGAAGGGGAGGGGCTCCTTCTTCAAAAGTTTTGAAGGCTGTTCTGAGGGTGAAACAGATGGAAGGCTTGTGCTGGGCTGTGCCAGAAAGTGGAGATAAGGCCATCTGTGGGGTGACAGAAGTCAGGTGAGGCTCAGCTGATGGCAGTCCTGTCCAGTCCTAGGATCGGTGATGAGGGAGATTCAGGGAGATTAAGAGAATGGGAATGGCAACAGGAGTGCAAGGATAGACCACCCTTAGTAACCGTTCCTTCCTTCCTTCCCTCCTTCCTTCCTTCCTTCCTTCCTTCCTTTTCTTTCTCTTCTCTTCCTCTGTTTCTCTCTCTCTCTCTCTCCTTCTCTCTCTCTTTCTCTATCTCTTTCTCTCTCTCTCTCTCTCTTTCTTTCTGACAGAGTCTCTGTTGCCCAGGCTGGAGTGCAGTGGCGCCATGTCAGCTCACTGCAGCCTCCACCTCCTGGGTTCAAGTGATTCTTCTGCCTCAGCCTTCTGAGTAGCTGGGACTACAGGCGCCCACCACCACACCCTGCTAAGTTTTGTATTTTTTAGTAGAGACAGGGTTTCGCCACACTGGCCAGGCTGGTCTCGAACTCCTGGCCTCATGTGATCTGCCTGCCTCGGCCTCCCAAAGTGTCGGGATTACAGGCGTGAGCCAAGCAACCCTTTCAGTTCCAAGGGGGTGGATTCTGTGGCCTGCGTCCAGTCTATCAGTCGGTGGCAAATGGCAGTGAATCGGGGATAGCAAGGATGCATCAGCTTCCCCACTAAGCAACTCCCTACCCTTCACATACCAGGCAGAGACACAGCTACCCTCCCAAATAGCCACTGTAGGATGCAGAGCTTGGAAGTTGAAGGACGTCAATGAGGAATACCTTACTGAGTTCTGGGCCCCATTAGGGTGCTGTGGTTGATTAGTGATGCCTGCCATGAGGTTGGGTAGAGTAACCGGTGGTCTGTGTGCTGCCTGTTCACTTGCTTTCCATCAGTGCTGTCAACCCTCATTTTTTTTTTTTTCTGAAGATATGTTGCTCATTATCAGGCCTTTCAAAATAGGAACTCCAGGTTTCACACTTTCTTCTTTTCTTTCTCTTCTTCCCTGCCTGGGCTTTCATTACCATTAAGAGCCAGAACTTATCTGCCATTTGGATGAGGAACTTCAGAAACAGGTGCAGGAAGAGAAACTTGCTCTCTCAAGTGCAGCAACTTCTTGAATGTGGCCCACTTCCCCTGGAAGGCTGTGAACACCACTTTATCTCCTAAAGGCTTGGCTGGTGGGAGGAGGGGCAGGAAGCCTCATGGACATGAGGGCACTATTTGGGGAAGGGTATGGTGGCAAGAATAGATGGGGGTAGAGGAAGCTACACGGAGGTTCTGCCTGAGGGCTGGGAAGCCAAAAGGATGGTCCCTTGAAAAGGGGCAGCCAGGTGCAGTGGCTCATGCCTGTAATCCTAACACTTTGGGAGGCCAGAGCAGGAGGATCACTTGAGCCTGAGACTTCGAGACCAGCCTGGGCAACATAGTGAGACCTCATCTCTACAAAAAATAATAAATTAGCTATGTTTGGTTGTGTGCACCTGTAGTCCTAGCTACGTGGGAGGCTAAGTAGGATCATTGGAGCCCACGGGTTCGAGGCTGCAGTGAGCTGTGATTGCGCCTCTGCGCTCCAGCTGGGGTGACAAAGGGAGACCCTGTCTCAGAGAGAGAGAGAGAAGGGGCAGCTCCTGCATTGCGATGGGGGGAGGTTAAGGGTCAGTACTCACTAGTCAACAGGTTGCCATGGCTCTGTGTATGGAAAGAGACCCCTCTGTCCTGTGCTGGAGTGGAAGGCAGCTGTGTTAGGGAATGGGCCCCCACCGGCCAGTGACTTTGGATGCTGAACACTTGTACCTCTGTTTTCTCCTGTGTGTAATGGCCATGGCCGTCCTAATACCACCCGAACTGCCTCTTCCTATGTGGCTGTGCAGCTTACTCGGGACATTGGGTGGAAAGCACTTTGGTGAGAGCTTGGCAGGTGTAGACTCATCACCATTCCGGTTGCTCCTGCCGCAGACGGGCTGAGCTCCAACTGGGGCATGCCTCTGAGGCTGAGGCAGCATCTGTAGGCTGGGAACAGGGTGACCCCTAGGTCTGGGACTGGTGGCAGAGCAGGGTCTGGGGTGACTTCGCGGTAGAAGCAATTTCCTCAGCAGAGTTGACACTGGCTGGGGAGGACTGGGACTGAGCAGCTGAGGGTCAAGAGAAAATTCTGGATGTCCAGGAGCTGGTTCAGCCAGCTGAGGTCTCCTGCCTCCAGTCAGGAGGGCTTTTTGCAGTCCCAAATGCTCTGGGCAAGAGGCTTTAATCTAATTACATGCTTTATTTGAGCCAATTTGTTTTCCAATCCATCTTGTTCAGCAAAAAGAAAGAGCCTGCTGGGGACTCATTTGCACCCTCTTGTTCCAAGTGGAGAAGAGGGGTTGAGCTCCCATCTCACATGGTCAGTGCAGCCCCCAACCTCTCCCAGCCCGGCCACCCCACCCCTGAGCCAGGCTGCAGACTGCCCTGCCCTCGGGGGGAGGGGGCTGGGGCGGCTCAGGTAGAAAAAGCCTGGCAGGCTTGCCCCCTCCCAGAAGTCCACCCCAGCGTGCCTCTCCGTGCCTTCCCTTTGGGGGTCCCGGTGCACTAGGCAGGAATGACACGGGATGGGCTTCCAGGCCAGGCAGCCTGGGAGGGGATTTCATCCTCAGGAGGTCACCCAGCCTCGGAACCTTCCTGGCTCCTCCTGTGAGAGCTGCCCTCAGAATCCAATGCCCCATATTTTTAAATCTGCAAATATATTTTCATCATAAGGCAGTGGATTTAGGATCTGTGTTATTAAAGTCCAAACAAAACACCAAAGCCCTTCAAACCTCCCTGGAGAGGGAAGATTTATCGGCTCCTGCTCTCCTCCCCAGGCACGGAGCCACACTCTCCAAGCTTCGCTTTTTAAGTTTTGCAGCATTTTCCAAAATTGCCTTTTTCTGCCCTTCCGATTCCTGCTTGGAGCCTTTACTTTTCGGCTGTTTACAGAGACTCGAGCCTGGTGACTTCCACCTTTGGAGTATGGGAGTGCCGGAATTGCTCGGCTGAGGGTCACTTTGTCTGCCGCACAGTGGTGGCAGCTGCGCCCGTTTTTATTGAACTTGCTCAACAAATATTTATTGAGGGCTTGTTATGTGTCCCGGGCCCTGGGGATACAGCAGTGAAGACTTCACTTTGGGGAGGAAGAGATACAATAAACAAACCAAACTGAAAAATGTATCACTGCACAGGGTGACAAGTGCCGTGAAGGAACCACATCCGCTACAGATGGAGTTGCTTTTCAGAACAGCCAGAGGTCAGCCATTATTCAGTGAATCAAGGACATACTTGAGTGAGAAATATCTTTGGGTTTAAAATAATTGGATGTGCCAGTAATACAATAAAATTGCTTTTCTGCCATGGCTCCTAAACTAGAGTAAAGATAATGAGAGCCAACATTTTTTAGTGCCTGTCATGTCGGGCTTCATCTCGCTGGAACTTTAAAAGATTGTTACAAACGCTCACCCCCGCTTAATAAATGAGGAATCGGAGGTTCAGAGAAGTGCAGCAATGTGTCCAAGGACACACAGCTTTGTAAGTCACAGAGCCAGCATTTTGAGTTCCTTGGTCGCCTGTCTGCCACCCCCTCTGTCCTGCTAGATCCTTTCCACTTCCCAGCATCCTGCAGCCCTGAAGCTCATCAGTAGTCTGAGACCATTGCCACTGGAGCCGCGGATTGTATCCTGGGGTCCAGGAAGAGATGTTCTTGTCCAACTAACACCCCACACCCCATAGACAGCAGGCTGAGGCCTGCAGAAAAGCCTTCTGATTCAGAGCTCAAGGGTCCCATTTTTCAGATATTAGCTGTACATCTGTTAAAGGTGGCATGGCCTTCTGATTTCTGGTGCCACTCAAACCCTCTCCAGCCCAACTCGTGCCCTCTTTGTTGTCAAAGAGTTTGGCAGGTTTAAAAGATGCCTAAACCAGCTGGGTGCAGTGGCTCACGCCTGTAATCCCGGCACTTTGGGAGGCTGAGGCAGGTGGATCATGAGGTCAGGAGTTCGAGACCAGCCTGGCCAATATGGTGAAACCCCATCTCTACCAAAAATACAAAAATTAGCCAGGCGTAGTGGTGTGTGCCTGTAATCCCAGCTACTCGGGAGGCTGAGGCAGAAGAATCGCTTGAACCTGGAAGGCGGAGGTTGCAGTGAGCTGAGATCATGCCATTGCACTCCAGCCTAGGCCACAGATCGACACTCCATCTCTAAATAAATAAATAAATAAAGCCTAAGCCCTTTACCCAGGCTGTCTCAGGGGTATCATCAGAATAATTGCAAAGGGTGCTGGCTGACGTCTTTTGTTTGGGGAGCCTGTGTTTGTGGGTTCGTTGGTCCAGGCAGCTTTGGTGTCTCACAGAGACAGCCGCAGTCAGCTTATTGTCCAGAGTGTATGTGCCAGTGGGTTCGCTGAGCAGTCAGCGGTGACCTGCACTGTGCTAGGTGCTGGGACACCAAGGTCCGATTTGCCAGGGGAGGAGGCAGACAGAAAATCCCAGACCAGGAAATGGGCGCTAAGAACCTGGAGGTTTTCTTGTGCCTGGGGCTGAGAGGAAGGCTACACAGGGAAGTGGCACAGGAACAGATTCCAAGCACAAGTGCCAAGGGGAAAGGCATTCATGGCCTCCGGCTTCTCCTAATACCCAAGAGCTTAGGTCCTGTTTTTTCCAGATATTATTTTGCAAATAATAGGATTCTACCACCGTGCACTCCAGGGGAGGAGTAGACGCCCCCTTGGGCCTGATGTACTCTTCATCCCCAGCCCTGCCTGGCTCTAGGCCTGTGGCACAGCCAAGAAAGGGACCTTGCTCCTGTCCGGAGACAGGGCTGCATCAGCCAGATCCCACCACACCAACCCATTTTCCTGTATCTGCTAAGGACTGGACCCAGGACACTGCATCTCAGATCTCAGCTCTCCTCCTGGCCTCAAGAGGCCCCAGGATCTGGCCCTGCCTTTCCCACTGGCCTGCCATCATTCACCCTCCACTCTCAGCTGCAGAGTCGGAGGCCACCTGGAGCCCATCACATGCAGTTGGCAGCACCTTCTCATCCTTCAGGACACAGCTGAGACCATCTCTGACCTCCCCTTACCCATCTCACGGCACCATAGTCATTTCCTCCTAAATCCTGTGAATGGGTAGCAGTTATGACCATCATCACTACCACATTTTACTGATGAAGAACTTGGAATGGTGAATGACCCCAGATCATAGGTTGGATGTGAACCCTTTCCCTGCAGCCCTGCTCAGTAGATTTCCACTTACGTCCTGGGGCCAGAAGTAGATTCATGGCCACGGTGAGCTGCAAGGGAATCTTTGAAGAAGAGTATTCTAGATTGGAGACATTAGGGTTTGCTCTTGAGGAAGAAAGGAAAATCGATATTGCAGGGGGCCAGAGCGGACCTGTCAGACTCAGGCCTGGTGTTTGAGGCTGTCCCAGTGGGTGGCTCTCTAGGAGACAGTATACAGGAAGGCAGGCCTTGGCCCTGGGTGTGCATTGCACAGCTGTGTGCACCTCCAGGAGCCTGCCTCTGCCCCTGTTGGTGCACCAAAGGGAACCATCAGAGAAGGTGGCCACAACTAGGGAGGCAGCAGAAAGAAAGGGCAGGGCTTCCCTGGGCAGCACTTGGTGGGGGCCAGGGCACCAGGGCCCCCTCTGACCAGCGAAGCCCCGAGGACCCCAGCTTGGTGCAGGAAGAGGACCCAGTGCTTCAGTTTGCCGGTATAAAAAACTCACACCCATGCTTCCTCACCTGAATACATAGTTGCAGTCCCTGAGACAGAATGTAGCTCAGGCAGCAGAATGACAGTCTAGGCTCCTGAGAGCCAGACCCTGGCTCTTTGTAACCATGGTACGGAGTGGAGAGCACGTTCTGGTAACCTTGGGCATGAGGTGGGGCCTGGGCAGTCAGGGCACCGTCCCTGAGAGGGTGAGAGCAAAAGCCAGCCTCTGCCCTATGTGATGAAACCCAGCAGCCCTAGGTGACCTGGGCCAGGCCAGGCCCCTGGGGTGGCTTTGCATGACATTTAAAAAAGAAGTCAAACCCTATCCAGCTCCCATGGCCCCTCAAGCTCTGGGACTCATCTCTCAGCTGCTGCCCCTGTCCTTCCGTCCGTGCAAGGAACTCCAACTTTCATCCAGTCCCTGAACCATGCCGAGCTGGGTCCTGCCTCAGGGCCTTTGCACAGGCTGCTCCTCCTGCTTGGAACCCTCTTCCCTCAGACCTTCCTGCCCTGCCTCCTTTGCACCGTTTAGGTCTTGTTCATGGGCTACCCCTCAGGGAGCTGTCTACAGCCACCCTGGCTATGGCACTGTCCTCACTCCCAGCCACCTTACCATGCACACAGTTGGCATTCAGGGAGAGGATGAAACCTCACACACACAGGCACATGTGCGTGCACACACACACACACCCCCACACCCACACACACACACACACACACACTCTTCTGCTGTCTCCTGGGGAGGGGGTAGCACTTCTCCACAGCAGAAGCTCTATAGATTGGAAATAGAAATGTCACTTTGTTGAATACAGATGTCATTTACTATAGGATTCCCACCCCTTGTAAGTAAATGGTCCTCATCCTCGCTAAGAAGAGCCTCACCTCGGCCGGTCGCTCACATCTGTAATCCCAACACTTTGGGAGGCCGAGGCAAGCGGATCACCTGAGCTCAGGAGTTCAAGACCAACTTGGCCAACATGGTGAAAGCCCATCTCTACAAAAATACAAAAATTAGCTGTGCATGATGGCAGGTGCCTGTAATCCCAGCTACTTGGGAGGTTGAGGCGGGAGAATCGCTTGAACCTGGGAGGTGGAGGTTGCAGTGAGCCAAGATCACACCACTGCACTCCAGCTTGGGCTACAGAGTGAGACTCCATCTGAAAAAAAAAAAAAAAAAAAAAAAAAAAAAAAAGCCTCACCTTAGACTATTTTTAGTGTTTCTTTCTTTCTAACACAAGAATTGTATCCTCATTGCAGTAAATTTTAAAATATACCTAAGACAATAAAGCAAGAGTATAAAAACCAGCCACAGGCCCACCACCCAACATTTCTGGCACATGCTATTCTTCTAGAATAAAATCCAAACCCCTGCCATTGTTGAAAAGGCCCTAGGGACTCCCTGCAAACTGTAAGCCTCATCTCTGGCTGTGCAAACCCCAGCTTTTGCCAGCTCCAGTCTCCCTTCCTTTTGGTTTCTCACACTTTCCTGCCCTGGGGCCTTTGCAACTGCCGAGTGCTGGGATGCTCCTCCCTGCACTTCCTGGGGCTGATCCCTTGTCATCTGAGTGTCACCTCCTGGGATGGGTCTAAGTAGGTCTCCACCTGTGCCCCCTGCCCCCACGCATTCCCTCCCAGTGTGCTCGGCTCACTGTCATCATTTCCTGAGTGTCACCGTCAGGAATGGGAGTGATGACACTCGTGCTGTTGGCCTCTCCCCTCCTGCTGTGATGCCACCCACTGCTCCATTAGCCTTGGGGATCACCCAGTGCCTCCCAGAGCTGTTCATGTGGGAAGTGCTTCATCAAACGTTCGAATGAATGGATGATAAATTCCTAGAAGTGCGGTTGCTGCGTTGGAGTATGCATGTGTATGTTCTCAGGGTTTTGACACTCAATGCCAGCCACGCTCGGGAAAGTTCATATTTTAATCTGTGCCCCAGCCATATCGTGTGAGTGTGTGTATGCTTGCCTTCACCAGTTTGCTAGGCAGAAGCGCTATATTCTTGTTGGTTTATGTTTTGTTTCTTTGATAATTTGAGATTGAACATGGGTGCATCTCTTTGTTCCCTTTTTATTTCCTCTTTTGTGAATGGCCTGTTCCTTCCCTTTGAATTTTTGGTTGCTGTCTTTTTCTTAGTGATTCAGAAGAGTTCTTTATATGTGAAAGACACCAGTCCTTGGCTTCCTGTGTTACAAACATTTTGGGCTTGCTTCTAGACCCTTACTTCCATAGGTTGCTAAGCTCCTTGGCCAGTCCATTGCTAGAAGATGCTTCATTTGGGGCATCGTTAGCCTTTCTGCCCCCAAGGCCCAAAGTCAAATGAGCATTTTGCTTTTGAGGCAGGTAGGGCTTGAGGGTGATGGATTGGGTCAGCGAGACTAGTACAGGCTTAGAGAGATGGGTGGGGGCTAGAGATCTGCCTGTGGGCCCCAGCTCTCCCTGACAGGTGGCTCTACCCCTGGATGAGGTGCTGTTGGTGAGGGTGGTAAGAAGGTGGTCTTACCTGGGGCAGGGTGGGGCAAGTCACGAAGTCACCTGCAGCCTAGGACCAAGAGGTGAGAGCCAGCTTCCTGGGGAGTGTGTCCTCCATTCTCATCATGCCTCGCGCATGATGGCCCTTATGAAACCCACGGATGCCTGCGGCACCTTGAAAACCGAACACATGGAAATCTGGACTCTCTGGCCGCGGAGATTCCATGCAGCTTTCTGGTTCTAGATCAGGCAGCACCAAACATACTTTCTGGGCAGACTGGCCTCATTTGCCTTTTGTCACCTGCTGGTGGGCAGAATGGCCCAGCCGAAATGGACAGAGCTGGCTGGGTGCCCCTGTTAGCCCCAGCCTTTCTCCCCTTAAACTCTTTCACCCTGGGCCAGGGAGAACCAGGGGCTCCTCCCCTACGCCCAGCCCTTGGCGTCTGCAACTTACCCAACCCTTCCAGGTTTCTCTGCCCGGGGAGGACAGACCATGTTGGCTGGGTGTCCCTCACTCATTACACCCCCTGCCCCACCTTCCCAAGCCCGACAGCCCAGAAGCAGAGCGGCAGAGGTGTTGCGAGCGAGTGGGCCAGGGCTGCTGAGAGCGAGACCTTTGCCAGCTCCCCGCCCTGCTCCAAGGGGAGGTGCCAGATGCGGTGCCCCTGGCTTCAACCGTGGCCGCCGGGCTCTGCCTGCCATATGCTCAGAGATGAGCCTCGATCCGGCGAGCAGGCCGGCTCAGCAGGATTTTGGCACCTGGGGCACAGGAGGCAGACCAGAGGGGCCAGCTACCCAAGGTGGAGGAAGAGGCAGGACGGTCTCGGCCGCTGGGATTGGGCCTGCAGGCCACCTCTTGGCTCTTGGCTGTGGGTCGGTCAGGGGAGCAGGTGGGAGGAATAAAAGGGAGGGTAGGCTGCTCCCAGGAGGAGCCAGGATGCCAGCCAGCCAGGATGGGCCTGCTGCGAGCCAGGCAGATGGTGGCCTCCAGGTCTCAGTGGCTCTCCCTGGGACAGAGCACGTCCGAGTAGGGGGCCAGGCAGTGCCTGTGTCCAGCCCTGGCAGCTTCTGTCTCTTTTTGGGCAGTAGAGTGAGATAGAAGGGCAGCCCTGGTGCAGGACCTCCTGCAGAGCTGCCAGTATTTACCTGTGCCCTCAATCCTAGCTCCAGAGGCTCCCCTGAGAGAGCAGGGCAGCAGGGCGTTCTGCCTACTCTTTACTTGTTACTCCTGCATGGAGCAAGTATGTCCTGGCAGGGTGGATGGGGTCCCAGCGGCTGGGTGGTGGTAGGATGGGAAACTGTGGGGCATAAAACGTTGGGTCTCCTGGTAAATGAGGCTGATCAATTGGCCCATATAGTCTGTGTGTATATATGGTTATGCCAGCTTTTATATTAAGGCTGAATCATATAAAACTGCTTTTTTAAAGTTGCAAAATGGTCCATTTTTAGCACTGTCATCTGTTTCATCTTAATAGCTTTCCATCTTTTTCTGTGTTTCTGAACAGATCAAATAGCGTGAAATCGATTTGTCCTTTAAATGTTTACATGGACCTACCTCTGAAACCATCTCTATCCAGACATCTCTCATGACTATTTTTCTGTTCAGATTCCATGTCTCTTACTCAGTTTAATTTGCTCCTTTATGTTTTCCTAACATTTTGCATTTCATTCAGATTTCCAAGATTTTTAGGCTAAAGTTGTATATACTAGCCTTGTAATTTATTTCTTGTTACTTCTTAAAGTTCCGTTTTCTTTCTTTTATTTGTAGTTAAACATGACAGTGTTTTGTCTTTTTTTTTTCTTTTAGTTTGTATTTGGGCTTTTCAAAGAATCAGTTCTTGGATGTATTTATGTATTTTTTCTGTATTCTACTATATTTCTACTTCTGTTGTTATTAATTCATTCCTTTTGCTTTCTTTGGGTTTTGTTTTGCTCATTTTCTAGCTTCTAGAATTGAATGCATTTCATTTATTTTCATTATTTCTTCTTTAATAACAAATAATATCATTGTGGTCAGGAAATGTGGCTTGTATAGTTTGCGCTTCTTGGGATTAATTTAGCATTCTTTCACTAAGGATTTCTGTCTGTTTCATTTTTGTATTACTATTGATTTTTGCTTAATATATTTCAATGAGATGTTATTCTACGTCAAAAAATCCTTGTTTAATTACTAGGTGATGTTCTTTTTCCACTATAAACATGCTTGCCTTGAATTCTACTTTGCTGATACTAACATTTCCACTCTTGGTTCGTTTCTTGTTTTCATTTGCTGATACATCTTTGCTACTGCTTAAGTTGTGAGCTCTTAAAAAAAATCACTTTAGGCTGGGTGCAGTGGCTCACGCCTGTAATCCCAGCACTTTGGGAGGCCGAGGCAGGCGGATCACGAGGTTAGGAGATCGAGACCATCCTGGCTAACACAGTGAAACCCCGTCTCTACTAAAAATACAAAAAATTAGCCAGGCATGGTGGCAGGCGCCTGTAGTCCCAGCTACTCAGGAGGCTGAGGCAGGAGAATCGCTTGAACCCAGGAGGTGGAGGCTGCAGTGAGCTGAGATCACGCCACTGCACTCCAGCCTGGGCAACACAGTGAGACTCCATCTCAAAAAGAAAATCATTTTATTTGGTTATATTCCCCTTAAACAGTACTCTGTTTTAAATTCAGTTTTTCAGTAGAGCAGTTGGATCCATTTACCTTCATTGTTTTGTCTTTAGTGGTTGCTCTTCTGTGATCTTAATTTATCATAATTGCTTTTTATATTTTTCATTTTTTCTGTTTTATCTTTTGGCATATTACCTATAATTTATATCGTTTTTCTCCAGAGTTCTGTGATTATCTTTGGGTTTTTCAGAAGCATTAGTTGATCTAATAGCTCTTACTTGTCAGAATCGAGCATGAAATAGCATTTTTTACATTCTCTATACTTAAGACAAAGGGTTTTATTCCCCACCTCATTCTACTTCATAGTTTTTAATATGATCTGAAGTTTCAAACTAAATTTAAATATTTTATATATACATAGCTAGATAGATACACACACACACACACACACACACACACACACACACACATACACACATGGGGACAGAGAAGGAGACAGAGCCACTGATGTTCCCTTTCAAACAGTTAAAAATAATTTTGATATTTGCATTATGTTTAAGAACCAAATTTGGCATCTCTATGTTTACTGGTTTCAGTTTTCATCACCAGTAAGCACAGAGATATCAATCACATCACCTTGTGTTTATGCCATCACTTTCCCCTGTAAACTCTTACTTTTGACTCATTTCATAGTTGGTTGGAAAACATTCTCAAGTATTTATTTCAAAAAGGATACATAATTGGAACATTTTGTGAGCCCTTGCACATTTGAGAATGTTTTTTCTTTATTGTGGCCTATATAGTATAAGACAGTCTAGCTAGGTATAAAAATCTTAGGTCACAAATTTTTCCCTTTAAGACCTTATAGACATTGCTCCATGATCATCTCACTGGCTTGTTGTTGTTGTTGTTTAATCTGTATATATTCTTTTCTTGTCCTGGTATTTCATATGTTTTGCAAAGATGTGTCTGGATGTTGGTCCCCTTTTGTTGATTTTTGGAAAACTTCAGTGAGCTCTTTCCTTCTAAATATGTAGGTTGTCTTTTTCCTCTAAATTTTGTAAGAGTTTCTCCAATTTATTCTCCATGTTTCTGGATCAGTTTTCTACAGTATCATGAATCTTTGCTGCTTTCAAAGTGGATTACTTATTTATTTTTAGAGACAGGGTTTTACTCTGTCACTCAGGCTAAAGTGCAGTGGCGCAGTCACAGCTCACTACAATCTCAAACTCCTGGGCTCAAGCAATACTCCCACCTCATCCTCCCAAGTAACCATCACGCCCGGCTATGGTCTTTTTGTTTGTTTTATTTCATTCTTTTAAGGGACGGAATTTTGCAGCATTGCCCAGGCTGGTCTTGAACTCCTAGCCTCAAGCGATCTTCCTGCCTTGGCCTCCCAAGTGCTGGGATTACAGGTGTGAGAGCACACCCAGCCCTTCTGAAGGGGATTTTAATTGTGCTACAGGGGTTTCATCTTTTTCCAACTCTTTCTTTTATGCATCACCCTTTTTGTTTCAGCTCAGTTTAATCTCCCTTACTGCCTTTCTTCTCCTAGTTCATAGAGGCTTTGTCATTTTAGTCTTTTTAGTCTGCCATGCCCATTTGGCATGTACACCTATTGTGTATGGCTGTTTTTAAGCTACAGTGACAAAGATGAATAGTTGTGACAGCAACTTTATGGTCCCCTATGCCTAAAGTATTCACCGTTTGGTCCTTTGAAGAAGAAAAAAATTGCAGATCCATGTACTGGTGCAATGGCTGGATTCCCATCTCAGATTTAAGGAGGATGGCCAGGAAGGCGCACAGCTCTGTCTTCAGCTCCTGGTTCCTACCAGCCTTTCCCTGGATTTCCTTCTGCTCTGTGGAGGTAGTGCTCTTCCTTTCTCTGCATTGCCTGATTTTCTGATTCTCTGCAATGATTTAGATAGAAATACAAGGTGAGACTGGGTGCGGTGGCTCACGCCTGTAATCCCAGCACTTTGGGAGGCCAAGGCGGGTGGATCATGAGGTCAGGAGTTCGAGACCAGCCTGGCCAACTTGGTGAAACCCTGTCTCCACTAAAGATACAAAAAATTAGGTGGACGAGCTGGTGTGTGCCTATAGTCCTAGCTACTCGGGAGGCTGGGGCAGGAGAATCGCTTGAACCCAGGAAGCGAAGGTTGCAGTGAGCCGAGATCATGCCATTGCACTCCAGTCTGGATGACAGACAGGGCATGACTCCGTCTCAAAAAAAAAAAAAAGAAATATAAGGTGACATCTTTGCTGTACTGCTGTCCTTCTGGTCCCTAGTGGTCCTGAAACTTCCCCTCCCTGGAGGAGGGATCGTCCCCACTGCCCCCACTCACTTCCTGCTTATTTGTTCTCTGGTCTTTGTCACTGTGTCCTCCTCCCTTTTTTCAGGACTTTTCTGCTCATCAGACAAAGAGCTGTGTCCTGAGGTAAAACCTGAACAGGTTTTGCTTAGTCCACCACCATCTGCCTTTAATTACTAGAGATTGCTCCCAGATCCCAGCGTTGGGTCATCATCAGTTTCGTTTTTGGCACTAGTGTGAATGTTCAGGTTTCCTCATTGTCTTTATGGCTGTTTTGGAACAAAACAAGGAGGAGCTACATGAGAGGCTGCCAAATAGATGCCAGTTTGAAGAAGGAGTCAAAGCTGCATTTTAAAGGTGTGGTTTGTCCATCTTGAAGCACTCTCTGTAGCTTTGTGTGTACCATAGAGAGAGAACATACGGTAACATTTTCCTTATTCGGGGGCCATTGTCCAGTGACCTCAGCTATCTGGAATACAACCTAAACAAAGAGTCCACAAGCAGCCAAATAGCTGTCACAGTGTCCATGTTCTGAAGGTTATTCACTTTACCTAAGGGAGAACATTTCAGCCTCTCCTTCCAAGCCTAGTTACCTGTATTTTACATACAATTCTAGCAAGCTTGGTCTTTGTTTTCCTAGCAAATCTGAAGGGCATAGGGGACATTTTGCAACAAGCACACTGATCTGACAAGAATTTCCAGCTGACAGAAAGGAAAGACACCAAAAAAAAAAAAAAAAAAAAAAGCAAACGCAACTCCAAATGCTCAGAGGGTGATGTCATTTTCTGTAAGGGCAAGCAGCCTGAGGTTCTCCCTGTGAGCACTCTCCAGTTTGACTCAGCAGCCACCTTCTCTGGATCTTTCCTCTGCCACACTGGGTGCTCTGTGCAAATCATGGGTGTGGAGACTGTCCCCATCTCTCACAGTTGGTTCAGACTGTGGTTCTAACCCTGGCTGTGCTTTAGAACCATCTGGGGAACATTAAAACTTCAGACACTCCGGCCATTCCCTAAGACAAAGAAATCAGAAAGTCCTGGGAGTGGGACCCAGGCATCGTGATGCCACTGCATAGCCAGGACTGGGAGCAGGAGGTTAAGAGCAGGGACTGGGCTGCCAGACTGCCTCATTGGGCACACGACCTTGAGCTGGTGAGTCACCAATGTCTCTGTGCCTTAGATTCTCATCTGTAAAATGGGGCCTGATTGAAGGGCCAAGACGAGTTCATCAACCGTGAGAACAGTGCCCAGCGCCTCATTAGTTTCGTGAGAGTAGCTGCCATTAGTGAGGTACAGACTGGATATTCATGGTGATGACTGTGATTTGTCAAGCAGGGCCTGTGAGTGCAATGTAATTAGGCAGTGATGGATGCCACACATTCTAGGGCAGTCTCTGTCCCAGGTAGACACTTGGCTCTGGAGAGAAGAGCTGTAGAGGTTTCTAGGCTGGGACAGTGACGCTGAAGGGACAGGGGCAGGCTGTCCCAGGACTCATCTGCCTTCCTCCTGCCCCGCCCCCCACCCCCGGGGTGGGGCTTACCTTGGGCGGGCTGCTCTGGAACCTTTCTGAGCTCTCAGTTCTAAGCTAGGCACCGCAGTCCCTCCCTCAAAGCATCAGATGAGGCTCGGAAGAGCTGACATGCTCAAAGGCACCCCCTCTGCCACAGCCTATGCTATCTACAAGGCTGAGATGGAGAGGTGCGCCTTGGCCCATGGTGAGGAGGCCGGTGAAAGGGATTTCCTCCTGATTGGAAATGAAAGTGCTGGTGTGGGATGATGGCTTTTGTGAAAAAAAAAAAAAAAATTGCGAGGAGAGTGGATTGAAGGCCACCCCTGCAAGAACGTCACTCGGCACAACTTGCATTCCAATTCGCTTCCCTAAGTGGAGAAAGCAGGAAGGGATTTCAGCCAGCTCACGCAGAATCGCCAGGACTTACGCACAACCTGGGTTCAGCCCCAGCAGTGGCTTTATTGTGAGCGTCATCTATCCCTGAGCTGGCAAAGATGTGGCCCAGAGCGGCTGTTCCTCACAGGGAAGTGCGGCCGCGGTGCTGATGGTGCTGATGGCGCCGTTGACTTGAGTGTTTGGGCTGCCGTCACTTTCATCCCAACCTCTCAGGCTTGGCCACAGTAGAGTGAGGGCCACTCTCTCTGGACAGCCCAGTCCCTGCACCCCAAGAAATCCCTACTCTAGTAACCAAGCTGCTATCCAGATGGCAGGAGGGATGGGGACTGTGGCCACCAGTGCCATGGAGCAGGGGTGTCATGAAGGGGCTCCGAGGGCTCAGATCATAGGGAGCAGGAAGCAGGGCTGTTTTTCTCCCATTTCCTGAGACTGGTTCCTAACTGGGGGCCCCAAGAGTCTGGCACAGGAAGCGGTGGGAGGCTACCACACCCATGGCCCCCAAGGTAGTGGGATAGAGCTGCATTGATCTTCATTGAGGCACCAGTCAATGTATCTCAGGACCTCGATGGAGGCAGTGGCCTTCACAGGCCAGAGGCCAGCCCTGGAGAGGTCTCCCTGAACACTCCCTGCAGATCTAAGTCCTGGGTTGGGGTGCAGGTGGCACTGGGAGGCCTCTGCTTTCCTGCTTCGGCTTCCCCTTGTGCTCCCACACAAATCACTCCTCCCCTACCTTGACCTTTGTTTTCCCCTCTGCGGGATAGGACGCTGCCACCTGCCCCTGGAGCAGCCGCCCGTGTGTGTGCACGTGTGTGTGCACGTGTGTGTTGAATCTTTCCCCTCCTGGTCCTCTTTTCCTAATCCCTCACCAGGACACACACCCAGCCAACTTCCATCAACCCATGCCACCACTGCTTCTAGAACAGGCTGGGCCCCCTGCAGCTCCCTGCAGCTCCCCGCTCCTCCCCGCTGGCCAGCCTGGCTGGTCTTCCCCCAGGCAGTCTGGGAATTGCTAAAATACAGGGCATTCCTCATCCCTGGCTCTGAGCTCACCTCTGCTCACACTGAGGGGGAATCTGTCAGAGTATCGCCTAACCAAGAGTGCAGGGATCTTGGCATCTCAGGCCAGCCTTGGCAG
This sequence comes from Homo sapiens, assembly GCF_000001405.40. NCBI lineage: Eukaryota > Metazoa > Chordata > Mammalia > Primates > Hominidae > Homo > Homo sapiens. The sequence continues at coordinate 9,220,169 of NC_000017.11, forward strand.
TAGCTACCCAGAGTGCACTGGGCAGGTGGCTTACCCTCTTTGAGCCTCAGTCTTCTTGTCTGTGGAATGGGAATGATACCTACCCATCAAAGAAGGGTTGGGAGAATTGAATGAGATCCTGCCTGCTGAGTGCTGGGGGCAGGGCAGACTGGGGGAGATTTGCTGAGGCTCTGGTGGGCTGTGCCGTCACGTGAAGCTGTCACACACAGACTTGGCGAAGGAATTGTGTCTCCTTGTTCAAAGAACAGCGATGGCTGGCAGGGAAAAGCCATGGTTGGGCTGAAGTGGGAAGCTGCATTTGGGGGTTGACACAGGCCCAAGGGCTGGCAGGCCCTGGTGCCCTCCACATCCTGCTTGGCTCTCGGTTGGGCCCTGGAATCCCCCAGTGATACCCAGTGGACGCAGGCCTAGCAGCCCTGCCTCTCACCAGTAGGGCCCATTAGAACTGAACTCGTCTTCGTGGGGCATTTTATTTGCACACTGCAGTAGAGTGAACACCAAAGGGGTTTTTTAATGCTTCATGGGCTGCTAATTTCCCCTGTGACCTCTTTTGTTGAGGCCTGACCCCAGCCAGAGGCTCCGCACCATGAAAGCCAGCGCCTGACACAGACCCAGGGCGCGGGGTGACAATGAGGCCTCTATCGGCTTTAATCAGGCTCCAGTTGAGTCTTAAGAATAGGGAGAATCTGTGTGGTGCTCAGAAGCCCTGGGTGGCAGGAGCCCCCCGAGACTCTCACGGAGGCCAGGGTGGTTGCAGGCGGTGGCTGAGGGATTCGTCAGGCCAGGGAGGGGGTGGGTGGGTCGGACGGGGGCCCTTTGTCCCTCAGGCCTCTTTAGAAGCGCAGGCCTTTCCTGAATGGCCGCCTGCCCGCCCGGCCTGGCCCATGGGTATCACAGGCCTCTGGCTATTTAGGGAGGCGGCCTCCTACTCTGCCCGCCAGCCTATTCATCGCCAGCCTAATTAGTTTTTGTCTGTGCTCCCCCCCCACCCCCCTGCAGACTGCGATTCCTACTGCAAGGCCTCCAAGGGGAAGCTGAAGATTAACATGAAAAAGTACTGCAAGAAGGACTATGGTGAGTGAGAGTCCCCTTGTCTGGGGAGGATGGGAGGGGGCCACGTGACCAGCGAGGTGCTGGGGCTGGGGTGCAGCTGGCCCCCGATGGGTGTTGGTCGTGAAGACCCTGTGACCGATGGGAACTAGCCGGACGGATCCCACGCCTGGGAATTTCTCATCTTTTCCTCCTTGGCCCTCAGAGACGGGGGCATGAGGAGCCCAGTGGCCTGGTTTCTCCCCTTCACCCTCCTGAGGCTGGGACACCCAGGCTGGCCTCTGGCTTTGACTCTGCCGCTGATGGGCTGTGTGGCCACAGACCAGTGGCTTTACCTCTGTGGTCTTCTGTGTCTGCATCATACTGCGGGGATTTGACCCGAGTCCACGTGGCTCAAAGGGAAGCTCTCTGGGCATCAGACAAGGGCTGGGAGCTCCCCGGTGCATTTCCAGTGTTCCGCCAGGCTGTAGCGGGGCCGGGAGTCTGCGCTGTAAACGGCTCACCACTCATTCCCATGCACCGGAAGTTCCGCTGCCCAGACCCATGGAGCAGACAGTCCTGGGGGCCACCTGCAGAGATTGCTTGTCACCTGTGACCTCAGGCTCCCTTCCCGGGAAGGGTGTGTCCTGTCCCCTTGCTCTCATGGTGGTCGTGGAGAGTGGAGATGGTCTGGGAGCCTGCAGGAGGAGGGCCCCGCAGTGGCCAGCGGGCAGGTGTGTGTGAAGAGCTGGGGCTGGTGGCAGGGGCTCTTCAGAATGGGGGACGCAAATAGAAACCCTGAAAGCATTGTCCAGCTGACCACTGGCAAGGCCCCCGCATACAGCCAGGGCATCCATGTGGGTGGCTGAGGCCCCCACCATAGGCCGGGAAGGAGCCCCAGGCCCAGGACTCCTGAATCCAGGCCTGGTTCTTTCTAGCACGGGGCCTCTCCTTGACCTGGTGGGCCAGGGATTGAGCCTGGGGCTGGCCCCCCAATTCTGGGCCCACGAAAGTCCACATCTGCCCACCTCCCTCCGTCCTCCTCCTCACTCCAGCTGGACATAGCCCATCTTTCCTGTCCCATCTTTAACTGACCCCAGGAGGTGCAGCCCCTATCCCCTCAGTGGCCCTGCCAGCCCCAGCACCTCCTGGCCACCTCTGGGAAGGCAGAACGACCTCTCTGTTCTGCTCAGCTTCCCAAGGCTGTCCTAATCATATGCTTCTCAGGGGATCTGGGATGAGTCCCATTGCTTACCTGAGCCTCAGTTTCCTTATATGTAAGATGGAGATGATGCCACTTGCTGAGTGTATACGGGGAGGACAGAGCACGGGTGCCTAACAGGCTCCCAGCAAACAGTGACCTCTGCGTCCAAAGGAAGCTGGTGAGGAAAGAGGAGGAGGGAGGAAACGGCGGTGGAAGAAGAGGGGTGAGAAGCGAAGGCCACCTGTGGAGGAGGCCTCACTATCCAGAATCTGAGCTCCGTCCCTTCCCTGACCCCGTGGGGGTCCGGCAGCCCTACCCTGGGACCCAGACCTCATGGAGATCCTAACTGGGCCAGCTGCTTGAACAAGGCTTTCTTCTTTAATAAGGACAGTGGTCAGGACCTTTTAGCACAGTGAAATGAATGACGAGGCCCAAAGGTATCTAAAGGAATCTGGAGAACTTCTAAAATGTTCTCGTTTATTGTGTGTGTGTGTGTATGTGAGAGAGTTCATACGCACACTCCCTACGCACACACTGAAGCCAGGGTAAGACCCCAGTAATTCAGCCCCATTCCCCACAGGCCTTCTGGCCTTCTACAGGGTGAAGAAGAGCAGCTGGCAGGTATTATGCATCAATTCAGAAGCTGCCAGGCTATGGGCATCAAAGTTCAAGGCCCTTCAGGGGTCTACAGTCAATTCCTAAAAGCTGCGTTAAGCTGTATACATCCCAGGGCAGTGCAGAAACTTCCACCTCCCACGGGAAAATAAACCTAGATTTAGAAATGAAACTTGCAATTACTTTAAGATAAAGGAAGTGCGTCTCCAAGCCAGGAAAGTAGGGGCCCTGGGTTGTTTTGAAAGGAGCTCAGGGCTGGGTGTGGTGGCTCACGCCTGTAATCCCAGCACTTTGGGAGGCCAAGGTGGGCAGATCACCTGAGGGTGAATATTTGAGACCAGCCTGGCCAACATGATGAAACCTGGTCTCTACTAAAAATACAAAAATTAGCTGGGCGTCGTGGCGCACACCTGTAATCTCAGCTACTCGGGAGGCTGAGGCAGGAGAATCCCTTGAATCTGGGAAGCAGAGGTTGCAGTGAGCTGAGATCACATGACTGCACTCCAGACTGGCCTGGGCGACAGAGTGAGACTCTGTCTCAAAAAAAAGAAAGAAAGGAGCTCATATGGCCCCGGAGCTGCAGGGACTGCATCCTCCCAGCCCTGGGTCTTCAGTGTCCCCTGGGGACTGTTAGGTGGGCCATGGGGCAGGCCTCTCTCCACTCCCCTAGGCAGCCCTCTTGTGAGATGACGACTTGAGCAGGACGCCCAAGGCTCTTGTAGCTTTCCTAGGCTTTGGACCTGGGCACCGCAGCACTGTCCTCCTAGCAAAGCGGTGGGCCCAGAGGAGTTAATGGGTCGCAGAGGGAAAGCCCTGTGCTTCTCCTCTCCCCATCCTTCCCTGCACAAGGCCTAGGGGTAACCTCGGCAAGGAGGTAGGAGGGGAAGGGAGAGGAATAGGTGGGCTTGCTTGGGGAATGGATTGTTTTGATCGCCTATTTGGTTTGGTTTTAGTCTCGAAGAACTCTTTAAGCAGCTACACTGTGGAGAGGCAGCTGGGAGCAAGGAGGAAGGCACTGACCCACAGCCTCTGCTCTGTTCTTTAATCATGAAATCATGAAAATGGGGCTTGTAAAAGGGCCCAAAACTGATCCTGTGTTCCACTGGATTCTATTTGACTCAACCTGGTTTTCTTGTCCTCTGACTTTGTTCCTTCCAGTGAATTCTGCCTCCCCAACAATATTCCAGGGGGCACCTTGGCCCCTCAGAGCTCTCCTGGCCCCTCACCTCTTCTCTTCAGGCAGCCCCTCTCTGTCTGCCGAACCTGACACCCTCCTTTCGTAGACTCGAAGGAGCCCCTTAGGCCTTCCCTGCGCCCTGCCCTGTTGTGGCCGCCCTGGGCAATGGGGGGCATCTCTCTTGGGGCGGGGAAGGGTGGGGCAGAGCCTCAGGGTGCCATCGGACCCTCTGTTCCCTGACTCAGCCTTCCCTTTGCCCGACACCCGACTCCCTCATGGGTTATCAGCAAAGCAGGTAGCAGGGACAGCGGGCTTCAGGTTGCTTGGGTCATAGGCAGTGACACGGGCCTGGCTGGGTGAGATGACTTGCCCAGTTACCCAGCCAGGGAGTGGCCCAGCCTCCCGCCCCTTCCACAGCAGCCTTCCTTGAGTTTTTCCTTCCCATCACAATTCCTCCAGAGAGCTGCGGGCCAGCCCTGTGTGCTCACCTTTCTAGACCTAATGGTGGTTACCCGGCTCCTGCCCCCACACCCATGGCCCAGGCGCGTCACCCAGCTGTCCACATTTCTGCTGCAAGACAAGGCTGGAGGAACAGCAGGTGGGGATGGGGTGGGGGGGCACAGTGGGATCCCCCCTGGGAGCTGATGGGGGCTGGGGCTCTGGCACCACTAGCTTTCATGTCCTCCTCACCACACTCCAAGCCTGTGACTCCACAGCCAGGACTGACACTCTCCCTGTGATTCCTCAGTCCTGGGGGTGGTGTGGTGTTTCTGGTTCCAGGACTGTTCCTGGGACTCTTGTGGTCACTTAAAAGTTGGGGGCACTTCGGGAGGCAGAGGTGGGCGGATCACGAGGTCAGGAGTTTGAAACCAGTCTGGCCAACATAGTGAAACCCCGTCTCTATTAAAAATACAAAAAATTAGCTGGGTGTGGTGGTGTGCACCTGTAATCCCAGGGAGGCTGAGGCAGGAGAATTGTTTGAACCTGGAAGGTGGAGGTTGCAGTGAGCTGAGATCGTGCCGTTGCACTCCAGCCTGAGCAACAGAGTGAGACTCTGTCTCAAAAAAAAAAATAAATAAAAAGTTGGGGAGTCCTCCCCACCCTCAGCTCAGCCTGTGTGTTCAGGCAGGAGGCAGGCCAAGAACAATGTCTGGAAAGGGATTTCACGGGCCTCTGCGGAGGGCTCAGAGGAGCCCTGCGGGGTGGGGTGGCAGGGCCTCGGGGAGTGTGTTTGGTCATAGAGGAGTGAGTGCCCCCACAGGGGCTGGCGGGGGGCCCTGAGGACAATGCCAGGCCCACGGGTTTCTCTGAGGCTGAGGCAAGGCCTCCAGTGGGCTCTGCTGGCGTCTGTGGAGAATCTCCCATGTGTCCTGTGTTGGGCCCCTGGCCCCCCTGAGAAGGTGTGTAAGGGGGTGTCCCTCCCACACAGACTTGGGCCAGCCCAGGGAGAAGGTGACCAGTAGGGGGAGGGCAGGAGGGATCTGGCCTGGGGATGAGAGAGCAGGGGAGGCCGCCAAACCGGGCGGGCCAGGGCGGGCCGGGCAGGGGCTCCCTCGGAGGCTGCATAATCCCCGCTCTCTGACTGACACCCGGCAGGGGGCCAATTAGGAAACACATTTCCTTCACCCAGGGCACTTGGATGTTCCAGAAGCCGCTAATGAGAACCTGGGGTTTGCTGCCCCTGCTGGGTGAAGAGCAGGCCCGGCTGCCAGCAGCCCCGGACCCCCTTCCTCCTCCAGGCCTCGCAGACCTTGCCCTCGTGTGGCTGAAGAGCGCGGGTCTGGGGCTCCGCGGACCTGGGCAGCGGCCAGAGGGTGGAAGGCTGGGGCGGTGGGGGCCCATGAGAAGGGGCCTGTGGGCTCGGGGCGCCGGCCCTGTCCCGTGTTCTCTCGGGCACACGCTTACAGAGAGCCAGAGCCCAGCTCCCGTAGGCTTAAGGGCACGAAGCAAGGCAAAGGGATTTGGGGTCGGGGGGGGGCCTCAGTGCCAAGGCCCTGCCATGCCACTCATATCGGAGGGACCCCAGGACCGAAGGGAGCGCTGGAGACGCAGGTTCCTAATTTGCTGTGTGACTGTGGACAGGGAGCTTCGCCGCCGGGGCCTCGGTTTCCTCATCTGTCACATGGAGGTGTAGTGGAGGGCACATGATATCCTTCTAAGTGAGACCCTGGCTGTGCCCCCCGCCCACAGCAGGCACCGTGTCTAAGGGGTGGGGGCCGTGGGGAGGCGGTCTCGTGGGGAGGCGGTCTCGTGGGGAGGCTGTCTCGTGGGGAGGCTGTCTCGTGGGGAGGCGGTCTCGTGGGGAGGTGGTCTCGTGGGGAGGTGGTCTCGTGGGGAGGCGGTCTCGTGGGGAGGCTGTCTCAGGTCACCTGGCCGCCCTCTCCTGGGGCACTCAGTCCTCTGTTACCCTCTAGGGGATCCGGCTGTTCTTACAAATGCTTGGAGGAGAGCCGCCAGGGAGGCTGAGTGGGTAGCAGTTATTTCCAGAAGATAGGTTTTATTATTTTCAAGCATATTCGCGATTCCTGCCAGCTTCTCAGGAAAGCCCAACCTTGGAGGGACCCTTCCTCTGCGAGGAGGCGGCGAGTGAGCGTGGGTGTGTGTGCGTGCTCACCACACAGTTGGCATCCTGTGGGGCAGCTCAGATACAGGCGGAGCAAGGCCCTGCTGGAGGCACCTGCCCTGCGGTCACACAGCACACACCTGAAACCACAGCCCCGGAAACCACCGCCAGGGAACTGGAGCATCCCAGCCCCGCCCCCCGAGGCCCCGCCTCACACCCCACCAAGCCAAGAGGCTTCCTTGGCGGAGCCCCTCTGCCTCCTCCTGTTCCCTTCCCGTCTCCCTTCCAACCTCTTCCTCCCATCCCGTCCCCGTGCTCCTGGGAAGAAGCTCCACTGTTCCATCCTCACCTCCTCCTGTCTGCGCTGCCTCCCACGTCTCACACAACCGCTGTGCTCACGTCCACACCACTCACAGGCACACATACCACACACGCATGCACACATACCACATGCATGCACACACCATCACATCACATACACCATCACACACACACACTTTATCACACAGGCACATATACCACATGCACGCATACACACATACACAATCACAAACACACCACACACATCAAACACAGATACACAGACTATCAGTCACACTCACATCATACACACACCATCACACACCACACACTATCACACAGGCACACACACCACATGCACACATACATACACCATCACACCACACATCAGATACACAGACTGTCACACACAGTCACACACATAGCACACACACATGCACATACACACCATCACACACACCACACACATCAAACACAGATACACCATCACACACAGGCACACACACTATCACACACACACATCACACACGCATGCATACACACACCATCACACATCAGATACACAGACTATCACGCACACACATCAAACACACCATCACATACCACACACATCAGATATACACACCACACTTATACAGACACACGTATCACACGCACACACACCACACACATCAGATACACTATCACACACAGACTCACACATTTATCATACAGGCACACATACCACACACATATCACACACATTCACACACTATCCCACACTATTACACACATACCACACGCATTATCGCACACATGCACACCCCATCACACACCCCATCACACACACACCCCACCACTATACGCATACCACTACACACAGCATCACACATGCACACACCATTACACACACACCATCACAGCACTGCACATCCCGAGAAGTCCTGGCCCAGCCTCCCCTCCACACTCGTTCATTGAGCACCTGCTGTGGGCCCCATCCTGCCCTGGGTGCTGAGCTTGCAGATCTGTGTGAGGCTCAGTCCTGACCCTCAGAGAGCTTACAGTCTAGGAGGGGAGACCGACATACAGACAAGGGCCACAGAAGGAGGGGGTGTGGCCGGGTTGCAGCCTGAGGTGGGCACACACACGGTGTGGCCCATTCTTTAGAGGGGGCAAGGGTGGGAAGGCTTCCTGGAGGAGGGAGCCTGAGTAGCCAGTGCTCACTGGGCAAAGCAGGGCTCCTCGGTGGAGGGAGGAAGGTCTCTAAGCAAGAAGCTAGGCATAGCACGAGGAAACGGGAGAAGAGTAAGAGCGGGGGCGTTCAGTGCAGTGTGGGGCCCAGGGAGGCTGGAGAGAGGCTGGTGTTGGCCTCATCAGTTGCATCTGTGTGCCGAAGCCACTCTGACCCCTCCAGCTCACGTGGACACGCGGGGGCTCCCATCCACGCCCCGATCCCCTGCCTCAGGTGGCCTGGGTGCTGCCGCTGGCTTCTTCCTACTCCCTGGGACTCAGAAAGAGGGGGAGACAGAGAGCTCACATTCTGAAAGGTGAGATCATCTCACTTCTGCCAGTTCTTGGAAAAGTTATTCGTTCCCAGAAATGTTTATTAGTCACCCTTTTGTTGAAAGACATTTTGGCACCACCAGATGGAAAAATCAAAATGCTTCTCACAGGACGATTTGTCTCAAGTATTCCGCCTGACATCCCACAAGGATGATTTCTGAGGATACAACTCAAGGAGGATGTTCTGTTGGCATCTGTGGGGAGAAGCCAGATCTGTTCAGCTGTGTGTGTGTGTGTGTGTGTGTGTGTGTGTGACTGTGTATGAGAGTGTGTCTGTGTGTGACTACGCATGTGTGATTGTGTTCGTGACTGTGTGTGACTGCGTGTGTGACTGGGTGTGTGGCTGTGTGACTCTGCGTGTGTGATTGTGTTTACGACTGAGACTGTGTGTGACTGATTCTGTGACTGTAAGTGTGACTGTGTGAGACTGTGTGACTGGGTGTGTGGCTGTGTGACTATGCGTGTGTGATTGTGTTTGTGACTGTGTGTGTGACTGAGACTGTGACTGTGAGTGTGTGACTGTGTTACTGTGAGTGTGTGACTGTGGCTGTTTGTGACTGTGTGAGACTGTGTGTGTGTGACTGTGCTCTCTTGGGGGTCCGTGGAAGCAGTGGGCCTGGGGACCTGAGCAGAATTCTGATTTGCATCACCATACCGTCTGCGTGCCCCGGTACCTCCAGAACCAGTGGAAACCAAGTAGAGGGCTTGCCCAGCCAACAACTATTCCCTCCCGCTGCTGGGACCCGGACTGGGCACATCACAGCCTTGATGCTCATCCTTATTTAATCTCCACACACACCTTGTGAGGGAGGGATTTTCATTCCTGTCAATAGGACGCTGAGACTCAACAAGATAAAATACTCTGCGCGGGATTAGGTACTCCACGGCTGAGACCTTGCTTCTCTCCCACACCCGGGAGGCCAGGCTTTGGCAGCAGGAGTAGGCGCGGCAGTCCTTTAGAACACTCAAGAACTGGGACCCCATCGGGGCCACTGACTCTGGATGAGCCTTGGAGGAGAGACCACAGAGACATCTTCATGGGCAAACAGGCGGGAGCGGGCACCGTGGTGCTGGGGATGTCCGAGATGATGGAGCAGAGGCACTGGGCATAGTGGCAGGGATGTTGGTGGTAGCGGGTGGTGGTCCAGAGGTGGATTGGTGATGGGCATGGCTGTGTGTTCGAGGAAGCTTCCAGGAAGACCCCTGATGGTGAGGGGGGAGACCTAGTTGGCAATGGAGGCAGGCATAGAGAAGAGGCAGTGGTGGGAATGACCGTAGCTCACTATGGAGCTGATGTGGGTCAGTGTGTGGTGGGCGGTGGTGGATGGATCCCGGTCCTGGCTCAGCCCTTGTCCAGTCGCTCAGGCTGGGAATCAGATGAGCCGGGGAGGGGAGGGTCTCACCACTCCCGCCTCTTGTCTCCAGCTAGCCTCAGGGACACGGGGCCTCTCAGCAAATGACGGACTCTTCCCCCTCAGCAGCACCCTCTCTCCTTTTCTTGACCTTGGAGTCAATGGCTATTCCTGATCGGGCTCAATCCCTTCAAGTGTGGAAAGCTGGACAGGTTATCAGCCCCTTTGTAGGGATGAAGTTACTATGTCTTGGATGTGGGCAGAGATGTTAGAGGAGCACCCTGGGGGCTGTCCCCCAAGGTCAGGGCCCCTGCTGTGGGCCCAGAGGCAGCTGATGTGATGGCTGCGAAAGGCCACCTCTCCCGAGCTTGCCCCCCTGTCCAGGGACAGGACGCAGACCAGCCAGCAGCACGTGGCATGGTGTTTCGGAGACTTGCTGACCCTTCCCTGGGGTCACCGGCCCCTGGGGAATCCTCTGATTTCCCCCACCAGATGTGACCCCCCCCCCGAGTGCCAGCCCCATATGGAGGCCAGATGTGGAGCTGGGCCCGCGTGAGTCAGTCTGAGGTCGTGGAATGCGGGTGACCACCAGGTTGGCCAGGGAAGGCCAGTCGGTCCCCATGACAGCTCGACAGAAAAGCCCCAGAGCCCACAGGAAGCTTGCTCTGGTGAGAGCCCGGTGGGGGCAGGGTGCTGTGATGCTGGGGTCTCCAGGCCCAGGAGGCTCTGGGGGGATGCGGCCCTTCCCAGCACAGCGACTTGCCATCCCGCAGAGCGGGAGCCCTGAGGGGAGAGATGGGCCCCAGAAGGGCCCTCCCTGGGATCTGGGCAGCTTTCTGGCCCTCATCTGCTCCTTCCCTGGAGCTTCCTCTTGTCTCTCCCGATGCTGTTTTCCTCTCCTCTGAGCATCCTGTTTTTAGGAAGGAGGGGTGGGGAGAGAGGGCTCTAAGGGGCCACAGAGGCATCTGATGAACAGTATCTCCTGCCCTTTTACAGATGGGGACACCAAAGCTCAGAGTAGGGGTGGGGTGGGGATCTGTCCAAGGTGCCCGGAGTGTGGGGCTGGGGACACCAGGCGGGAAAGGCTAGTCTTCTCCTGGCTCAGCCGTGCCCTGTGTCTCCGTGACCACAGAGATCTTCTCCCGACGCAGAGCGCGGGTGGGCATTTCGTGAGGTGTACCCGCTGGCTCTCCCCTGGGATGAGTGCCTTTGGCACTGAGGACCTCAGCACCCCCGCCATTGTTCCTGGGTTTCCTTCCTGAGGCCTGTCTCAAAGTCTTCACAAACCTATCAGCTCAGTTCTGCCTGTGCTGGGCTCAGGCCTCTGAGATACCATGGGGTACCCGGGGGGGGACCCCAGCCTCCCAAGTAGTCTACAGGAGCTTTGGGGGGCATCTTTGCAAGCCCTGACCCCTGAGTCAGTTCATCCGGCAGCGCTCAGCTCTGCCCCCACCCTGCTGTGGCCCCCAGGTCTCAGCTCCTTCCTTCAGGTCTCCTCAGGGAAGCAGATTTTGAAGATGGCTTGACTTTTAGGAGCTGACGAGTTCCGAGCCAAGTCCCGTGTGTAGAGAGTGCATGGATGCTAACCCCACACGGGACAGGGCTCCACACCAGGGTGCCCTGGGAGCGCCCTGGAAATGCCAGCCCGGCTTGCGGTGAGGGGATGCTCTTGGCTGTCAGGCAAAGGGGCTCGCTGGAGGTGGCACCTTGGTGGAGAAATGGGCGGTCTTTGAGAGGTTCTCAGCCGGGCCACTCCCGCTCTGTGGAGTGGTATTAATATACATCTGCAGGCCTGGTGGGCCTCTGGCTGAAACACCTTCCACACCAAGCCTTCTGGGAGCCCCGGAGGGAGCTGAAGGTGGACTGGATTGAGCCCATGCCAAGGGAGGCTGGCTTTCTCACTTTCCCTCCTCCAGAGGCTGGGCCCCCATTGCTGCTGAGGGCGCTGGCCTCGGGGCGGTTGGGGGGACGCTCACTGCTCCACCCTCCTACTGGGTGGTTCTCGATGGCATGTCCCGCGGGCCCAGCCCTCACCGATGCCTTTGTTCAGGGAGCTGGTTGGCTGCTCCAGCCAGCCTCGGAGCACTGGGGCTGAGCCAGAGGTGGGAGGGCCTCGGGGGAGGGGAGCACTGTCCACCCTTCAGGATGACTCTGACAGCCATGTCCCTGCCTCTGGTGGGCCCAGCCCCTTAAAGGGTCGGGGGGACAAGTGTGGAATTCGGAGGCAGGAGAAGGAGGCGGCTGCGGCTTCCTCCTTGGGCAGCAGGCTCTCCCCCAGGCTGCTGTGCTGGAGGCAGCAGCCTGCATCCCGAGGGCACCCCAGCTGGGGCAGAGCAGGGCCCAGATCCACTCCCTACTTAAGCCTCTTGCTAAGAAGGGTGCCAGTCCCCGATCTCTTCTCACTGCTGAGCCTCACGGTGCAGAGCTGGACAGGCCAGGCCTGACTGTGCCCACCTCCCAGGGGACAGGGCTGGTCTCCTCCCCAAGGGTCTGGCTCTCTAGGACCTCCAGGACCTAGCAGGGGAAACTGAGGCAGCATCCACACTGCTTTCAGTTCTGAGAGAGAGGGTCATCCTGTTCTGTCTTTGGTTGAGGGGAAACCTTCAGCCAGCTCTACGTTGGGTGTCCTCATGTTGTCTAAGTCCTGGGGCAGGGCCCCGGTGGCAGGCACATGGCAGGAGATCCCTGAGGACTCCTGAGGGCAGCGGTGGCAGTTGCCAGGCCTGGCCACAGTGAGCCTCCAGCCCTCTGCCTTGTTTGATATAGACTGGGCAGGGGCCACGGTGACCCCCCGTCCCGGGTGTGGCGGCCCCCTCTCCCACACTCCCCGGCAAGGAGTCAGGAGAGGGCAGATGAGCATCACTGAGACCAAGCCTTGGCTCTGGCGGCCCTTCCTCCCTTCGCAGGGCCTGGGAAGCATGTGCTCAGAGCTGCATTTCAGGAAAGCAGCTGCAGCTCGTGACACGCTTTCCACAGCGGGAGATTTATGGGGCTGTGCGGCTTTCATGGTTTCTGTGGGGTTCCTATTCTCCCCCTCATTTGTCCTGGCCGCTGTCTCCGAGGCAGATGGGTGACAAGCCTCCCCTAGCTGGACCGGCCCAACAGGAAGGTATGGCTGTGTAGGGGAGGGGAGAGGCTGACCACCTCAGCCTCCTTCGGAGGGGGAAGCTGCTGGGAGCCACTGGGGGCCCACCTCGAGCAGCCCATAAATCTGCGAGACCTCCAGGAGGTAGGAAGCCTCCCCGCGGAGGTGTCCCACACACTTAGGCCTTGCCAGGGAAAGGAGAAGGGCCAGCAGCCCCCAGAGTCTGTGCTGCGGCCACTCCCCCAGGGCCCAGCCTGCAAGTTGTTTATTCGGGGCTGGGCCTTTCCCGCCCTGTGTCGGTTCCCAACAGGCAGATGAATGGGCAGCATCTATAACTTCTGCACCGGCCGGACAGCTTTCCTACAACCTGGCCCGGGCGGGGAGCTTTGATCCCAGCAGGAGGTCCACCAAATCTGCAAGGAGGGGCATCCGTCAGTTCCCATCTACTCCTGCCACCAACTTTCTGGGGTGGTGACAATGCAGGGTCCTCAGAAGGTCTAGAGCTCACAGGCTATGGTGGCTCCTGGGCCCGGACTGGAACTGGGGAGGGAGGGAGGTTTTGGATGGACTGGGGTCTGGACAGAGGACAGGGATGCTCCAAGTCCCCCTCTGGAGGAATCTAAGCATAGGCTGTGACCTAGAGTTCCCCATTCTTCAGGTTGCCTTTGACGGCCTGGTAATGGGTCAACATTGGGACTCTGGGGAAGTTGAGGTACCCCAGGAAGGAAGACCAGATGCTCACTCTGGTGCCTTTCACTGCAGCCAGGGACGCGGGAAGCAGCAGCTGAAAAGACACCCAGGGCTGGACAGGCCAGGCCTGACTGTGCCCACCTCCCAGGGGACAGGGCTGGTCTCCTCCCCAGGGTCTGGCTCTCTGATTCTACTTCTGCCCTCCTTGCCCAAGGGAAGTGCTCAAGGCACCCAGCCTGCCCTGGGCCTGCCTCCTAGCCCCCTGCCCCATTGGCTGTAACCAACTCCACACTGCGGCAGGCTGCCCTTGTTGACTCTGGCCCCCATGGACCTGGCCCTGAGCCCCTTTCTTGCCTCCTCGGAGCCACGGCCAGCCCTCCAGAGCCCCATGTGGGCGTCTCCTGTGGGGCGGAGGAAGGTGTGTGCCCCTGTAGGCAGGGCGGCAGGTGTGGGTTAGGGCAAGGGAAGCCAGTCCTCTTAGCTCGCACTGTCCTGGTGGCTGAGAGAGTTCTTGGAATGAAAGACCTTCCTGTGAACCCCAGAATTGCTGAGAGGGAGGGCTGCTGCTGCCCCACCCCACCTGCATGCAGCCTTGTTCACCGAGCTCTGTGGCTGGTTGCAGGAAAGGAGGGTTTACTGCACAGACGAGGGGTGGCCCATGGGCTGAGGGCAGGAGACAAAGCTCAGCCAGGTGCCTAGGACCTGGACAGCAGAGGCCACTCCTGGCTGCCCTGGAACTGCACTCTCTTCTTGCTTTCCCTTGGGCATCTTTTCTAGGCACCCGCCTCCTCCCCATGGTGGAGCACCAGGGCTCAGTTAGGCTTCCAGTCAGCCCAACCCATTCAGCCTCCAGGGTTCCAGTTCCCACATCCGAACCCTGGTTTTGTCTGCACTGACAGCAGAGCCCTGCCCTGAGCAGAGCCCCCTGGGAAGAGCGTACCCGCTCACTTGCAGCAGTCAGCTCTGGGGGCAGCAAGGCTCGAGGAAGGGAGGATGAAGTTGAGCTGTGGACTCTGGGACGCAGCCGTTGAGCACTTATGATAAAACCAGAAGCAGCAGCAGGCGGAGGCCAGGCTCCCCTCCCCAGGCAGGGTTGAGGGGCTCTGCTAACATCTGCCTCATTGACTTCCTTGTGTCCACTTCAGAGAATGGCCATTCTGGCTTAAGGCAGTGACCTCTTCCTGTATACCAGCAGTCCCTAATTTGTTGGGTTTTTTTTGTCTGTTTTTTGTTTTTTGGTTTTTTTTTTTTTTTGAGATGGAGTTTCGCTCCTGTTGCCCAGGCTGGAGTGCAGTGGTGCGATCTCGGCTCACTGCAAACTCCGCCTCCCGGGTTCAAGCGATTCTCCTGCCTCAGCCTCCCCAGTAGCTGGGATTACAGGTGTCCACCACCATGCCTGGCTAATTTTTTTGTATTTGTAGTAGAGACAGGGTTTCACCATGTTGGCTAGGATGGTCTCGAACTCCTGACCTCAGGTGATCCACCCACCTCAGCCTCCCAAAGTGCTGGGATTACAGGTGTAAGTCACCGTGCCCAGCCAGCAGTCCCTAATTTAAGGGCTGTCAGCACACTGCTCATCTCCCTGGTCTGACCTCACCGTCTGCCTTTCTGAGAGCAATCTCATCTCCTTTCTGAATACATGGTGGGGGATCCTCAGCAGAGCCCCCCTGTTCCAGCGTTGTTGAAGACAACTTTTAGGACATCAATGCAGGGACAGTGGGAGTTCAGGCATGCTAAGGGCCGAGGCTAATTAGCTTGGGGTGAGTTTCATCGTGTGGGTGTGTCTTAGTCAGTTCTGGGCTGCTGCAACAAAACCCCTTAGATTGGGTGATTGATAAACAACAGAAACTTATTGCTCATAGTTCTGGAGGCTGCGAAGTCCAAGATCAAGGTGCCAACAGATTCAGAGTCTGGTGAGGGCTTGCTCTCTGCTTCAGAAATGCTGCCTTCTTGCTGTGTCCTCACACAGTGGAAAGGGCATGGGAACTAGCTGCAGCCTCTTCTTCTTTCTTCTTTTTTTTTTTCTTTTTTTTTTTTTTGGAGACAGAGTCTCGCCCTGTCCCCTGTCACCCAGGCTGGAGTGCAGTGGCGTGATCTTGGCTCACTGCAACCTCTGCCTCTTGGGCTCAAGCAATTCTGCCTCAGCCTCCCGAGTAGCTGGGACTACAGGCGTCCACTGCCACGCCCAGCTAATTTTTTGTATTTTAGTAGAGACAATCTGCCTGCCTCGGCCTCCCAAAGTGCTGGGATTACAGGCGTGAGCCACCATGCCCGGTCAGCCTCTTATATAAGGACACTAATCCCATCCACAGGGTGAGATCCTCATGATTTGATCATGTCCCAAAGACCCTACTTCTTAATATTCTCACACTGGATATCAAGTTCCAACATAAGAATTTGGGGGGGGGGGTACTAACATTAAAACCTTGATAGGGTCTAAGAGGCCCGTCCTCGAGGCCATGGTCCTAAGATGGGCAGAGCTGCCCATAGACCACTGTGCCAAGCCCCCTGGTTGGGTGACATCACAGGTACATCTGGGTTGGGAGGGGCGCCAGGTTCCATGTAGCCCAGAGATCCCCATCATTCCTTGCTTCAAGCCAGAGGTTGGTCGGAGGTGACAGCAGCCTGGTGGAGTGCCGTGTGGGTGCTGATGCTCATGCTCCCAGACCTGCAGGGCAGGTCTGTTTGAGGTCACTGTTGCAATGCGCATTTTGAATATTTTCAGCTGTATGTGCATGGCAGGGGCTTGGCCCATGCACTGCATATGTAGCTCATACTTGGTGAGCTGTGTAATGTGTAGAGGTGTTGCCAAGGGCAGCGGAAATGTGGCCTTTTTCCAGCATAATCATGAGTCCTACCACTACCTGTCCCTGCCCCTGCGGCCAGGACAGCTCCCACCCCTGGAGTTGCTGAGATCTGCTGGGGGTGGAAGGACAAGGGCTGGTTGCTTTGTCCTGACTGACCACTGTCCATTGCTCTATCCCTCTGGACTCCCGGCAGCAAGGTGTCCAGAGGAAGGTACCTTTCAGGGCTTTGCCCTTGGTGTTAGGCAGTTAAGCAGGTCCCCTTCAGGACCGTGTGGCAGTGCCTGGAGAAGCACAGGGGGCTGCTTTGGATGCCATGCCTGGTTTCCAGGGCATTCACTGATGGGGGAAAGCTCAGAGACCAGAGAGGGTTGGGCAGGGCTCACTGGCCCTTCTGCTATGACCCCAGGGAGTGAGAAGGCCCCCTGGGAGGCCTCTGCAGGAAGTCTAAGGCTAGGCCTTCTCCAGCCAGCTCTTTCTCTAGCCTCTTCTCAGCAAACTTGAGACTCTGCCAGCTCTGCCCTTCTGCCTGGCCCTGAGCAGAGGCCCAACATCCCCAAAATCTTCAAGATGAATTGTATTAGCTTCTAGGGCTGCCAGAACAAAGTACCACAGACCGAGTGGCTGAAACCACAGAAATGTATTTCTCACAGCTCTGGAGTCTGGAAGTCCAAGATCAAGGTGTCGGTAGGGTTGCTTTCCTCCAAGTCCTCTCCTGGCTTGTAGATGGCCACCTTCTCGTGTCCTTACAGGGTCTTCCCTCTGTGTGTCTGTGTCCTCATCTCCTCTTACAAGGACACAGGTCATAGGGCCCACCCTAATGACCTCATCTTAATTATACTTAACATTTTTAAAAATTTTAATGGGTAGTTAATTATACTTTAAAGACCCTATCTCCAAGTAAAGTCACCCTGTGAAGTCCAGGGGGTTAAGGTGTAAGGTTTCAACAGAGGAATTTGTTGGGACACCATTCAGCACACAGCACCAACAGATGCTCGGAGCCTGGGATCAAAGCTGAGCTCTCCTGGAGCCCCAGCCCAGGGTGCCTTCTGCAGCATCCTTGTTGGGCTGCTCCAGCCCATGCTGGCTGGGGACACCACAGCTGTACAAGGGGTCCGAGGTGTCCAGCACGGCAGAAACAGCCATATCCCGAGCTCATTCGTATTCAGCTCAGTCCTGGGGAGAGGAAAGCGGGGCTCTCAGGGATGCTGGGGGTGGCTCCCCCATTGCTTAGCTAAGGGGCACTCAGTTGCCACGGTGACCTCTGTCTGCACAGTCAAATACACTCGGCCCAGCCACTTCTCTGGGCTGGAGGGCTCCCCCCACCCAGAGTTCACACTGAGTGTTGAGTCCCTTGGTGACAAAAACATGGAAACGGTTGCCATGGCAGCCATTCTTTGGAGCCCTCAGACTGGAGTGCAAAGTTCAGGATGCCCAGGAACAGCTGAAATGAAAATACGGGAAAATCCGCTTCCCTCACCCTGGAAGGATGACTCGGTTGGCATTCAGTGCTCTCCTGCACTCGGCTGTCCCTGCCCTCCCCATCCCCTGGTCCATGTGTGGGTGCAGGGGGGTGCCCTCGGAGTGCAGGAGCAGAGTGGCCCCCAGAGACGTTGACAGAAGCCAGCCAGCATAGGAGGGCAGGCTCAGCTGGGGTGGTTCCATTGTCTGGAGTGGTAAGTGGGGAAGTGATGACTGCTGGACGTTCCCTGGGGAGGTGTCCTTGTGGCTGCTGAAGCCACAGAGCTTGCCTGTGTGTTGGTTTCTTCAAGCTGCTGCTCCTGTCTCAGGAGGGCTCAAGTCTACTCCATGGCCCAGCCTGGGGAATAAAGGTGTTTCGCCCAGTGAAGGCTACAGTGTGTGAGGGTGGGATCAGTGAGGGGAAGACAGTGCGGGGCAGGGGAGTGAGTGGATGGCTGTTTCTCTTGAACAGAGGTGAGTACAGCAGAGGCCCCTCCAGGTACCCCCTGGTCTGGGGGCAATGATCATGTGTCCACCCCCAGCAGGTCCCCAAGAAGGCCCCATGAGGCTCTGGTGACCTGAGATGCACCAACCAAAGGGTTCTGCAGTCACAGTTGTTTGAGAAACCAACACACGTATACAGGATTCTTAGGTTAAAGGCTCTGAAAAGTCTTGCAGTAAGGAACCTCTTGACTTTGTTTAACCTAGTATTTCACAAACTTACTAGAGCAAAGTTTCTCATTTATTTAGCGTCTCTTATTTTTGAAATCTCCCTTACTATCTTGCAGAAATGACATCTGGTAACATTTGTCCTCTGAGTCAATGACATCGGCACCACTTGTGAGAAATGCATATTCTAGGGCCTCACCCAGATCTGTTCAATCTGAAGCTCTGGGGCGGGGCCCAGCAGTGTATTTTCACAAGCCGGCCAGGGGATTCTGATGCATGCTCCATTTGGGGAAGTCCTTCTACTAGGGAAAATACTGGCAGAGAATTTGGAGTAAGAGGAATGGTCTGGGGACCTTGGGCGGCATGGAGGAAGGGAGGCCACCTGGTAGGGATGGCTTAGGCGTGGGAAGCGGCAGTCCAAGGTTCCCGGGGCTCTGGAAAAGGCACTACGGCCACCCCAAAGGGTGGGTTCTCATCTTCTGTCCCTGAGCATTGAGGACCCATTATGGTTTTCTGAGGCTGGTTGGAGGGCCAGGCTGTGTGTGGAGTGTCATGAGGGCTGGTGTAAAGTGACTTGGGCCTTTGGAGAAGCGCACCCCTGAGGAACCTCCCTCTCCCCGCCAGCACTGCTCTCACCCGAGCGCCTGCCCTGGGCAGACAGCTTGCCCAGAGTGCTGGGGGCGTGGTCAGCACCTGTAGGCTTCCTGGACAAAGTGGGCCTTGACAAGGCCAGGAGATGGCTTGTCCCGACGGCAGTGCTGGGTGGCACCCTCACAGCGTGGGAGGCAAGGCTTCTTGGCCCTGTTGTTAGCAGGTGGGGGTCTACGATCAGCTTGCCACCACCCACGCGCTCCTGTATGGGCCACTCTGTGCAGTCACTTCCTGGGGCTGGGTCTCCTTTCCCTTCTCCCCAGGCTCAGGCAGGGCGGACCTAGCCACAGCAGCTGGGAGCCCACCCGTCTGCCTGTGCTTCCTTGCAGCCGTCCAGATCCACATCCTGAAGGCGGACAAGGCGGGGGACTGGTGGAAGTTCACGGTGAACATCATCTCCGTGTATAAGCAGGGCACGAGCCGCATCCGCCGCGGTGACCAGAGCCTGTGGATCCGCTCGCGGGACATCGCCTGCAAGTGTCCCAAAATCAAGCCCCTCAAGAAGTACCTGCTGCTGGGCAACGCGGAGGACTCTCCGGACCAGAGCGGCATCGTGGCCGATAAAAGCAGCCTGGTGATCCAGTGGCGGGACACGTGGGCGCGGCGGCTGCGCAAGTTCCAGCAGCGTGAGAAGAAGGGCAAGTGCAAGAAGGCCTAGCGCCGAGGCAGCGGGCGGGCGGGCGGGCGGGCGCCAGGGCGGGGCCGAGCGAGAGCGGGCGCCTTGGCCCGGCCGCCGCGGACTTGGCCCGCGAGGGCTTTCCCAGGTGGGGGGAGGGAGGGGGCGGGGCCGCACGGCGCGGGGGGCGGGACCCTCGGCGGCCCCTCCCCCTACCCCCACCCTGCGCGCTCTGGGCGGGAGCCGCGTGCACGCGGGGCGGGGTGCGCCGCCGGCCGGGCCCTGGAGAAATGACGAGACGTAGCTACCTCACGGGGCTCCTTCCAGAGCAGAGACGCGCTTCCCTGGGCCTGGGCGCGGCCGCCGTGGAGGGGCTGGGGGCAGCCTGCCCTGGGGCCCGGGGGCGGGCGCAGAATCGCACAACTGGGGCCCCAGGCGCGGGGCGTGGATGGCGCGGAGACGTGGACGGGAGGAGAACTGTGAATTCTCAAGCCCGTAGTGTGGGCGGGGCGCGGAGCACCCACCAAACCACCACCCGACACGCAGCCGACGGGATCCCCCCCTTTCTCCCCGGCCCCTTCTAGCAGTTCCCCGCGGGCCACCTGGCTGTCACAGCCTGGACTCCTCCATCTGAAGGGGCCTGGCAGCATTTGGGGAGTGGACAGCTCCTGTCCAGCCAGCATGCCCCAGGCGGCCTCTGTCTCCACTGCTACCTGCTGAGTGGGTCCTACTGGGTGGGGGCTTGGGGTCGGTGAGTGGTTCACCTGTGGAGAGAGGAGAGGAAGCCCCTGCTGCTGCCTGTCTCTGCCCCTGCCCCTGCCCCTGCCCAGCGTGGGGCTGGCCCATCCGGAAGGCAGTGGGCCCAGGGACACCCCTGAGAAGCCCAAGCCGGGTGGTCACCGCCTCATGCTGGAGCTGCCTGTTGGAGGAGGCATCGCAAACGCAAAACCTCCCAGAGAGTTTCCTTTTGGAAACTTGGAACCAGCCCTTTTTATGACGTTTTCCAGGGGGAGGGGGAGGGGCACTGGCTGGGTTTACGGCAGTGACACTATTTATGTAAATGACATCAGCTCCCGCAAGGCCCCTCAGCAATGTCAACAGCTGGAAAGGGCCTGAACGGGCTTGGAGTCTGCAGGCTGCGAAGGCACTTGGGCCTGGCTTGGGGCCGGGGGCTTGTTTGAGCTGGGATGGGGTTTGCTGGCTCAGTGAAGTACCAGAGTGCCTGAGCCATGGGTGGGCAGGGGCACAGGAATGACCAGGTTCCTGGGGGCCAAGGAGGCCATGCTGGCTTCTCCAAGGGAAGGCACAGAGGCTGCCGGCCTGCCCCCTACAGCTGTCTTGGGTCTGGCCTGGGCCACACCTTGACCGTGCCTTTCCAGACGGTCTTTGTGGAGTCTGCCCGTGCCCTCCACTGTGCCCCAGCCCTCCTTCCAAAATCTCCTAGAGACACGGTCCTCAAGCAGGCAGCCCCTTTTGTTCTGACCTCCTCACACAGGGTCCATTCCTGTGCCCTGGGGCCTCCTGGCTCCCTGCCTTCCTGGGCTCTCTGCACTGCCCGGGCCTCTGGCCCACATCCTCACACCCGGCGCACTGAATTAAGAGGCCTGGCTCCCCTCACAGTCAGGAAATTGGTTTCACTTTCCCGGCCAGAGTTTGGCTGCTCAAAAGGGTCATACCAAGTATGAAGCTCGGCCCCCGGTGGTCTGGCTTCCCTCCGCCTTCCCCACATTTACCCGCATCACGGCTGCCATTTATTGAGCACCTGCTGTGTGCCAGGCACTTTACCCACATGCTCCCAGTGTGTACTCATGACAACCCTGTGGGACAGGGACTCATTATCACCAGCAAGGAGACTGGAGTACACGTGCCCAAGGTCATGCTGCAAATTGGTGGCAGGACTGGGGCTCAAACTCCAGAGCCCGACTTTCTGACCAGGGGCCACGCTGGCCCTCACTGCACTCCAGCTCTGCAGCCTACCCGCCCAATCCCTGTGCAGGCTGGGAGGGTGCTCTTGGGGGAGTGGCCACCGAGCCCCTGGCCCTGGTTACTGCCTCTTGAGGACACTGGCATCTGGGCTGGAGAACAGGAGCCCGGGGTGGGGTAGGGCATGGGGACAATCACATCTTCAGAGGAGGCAGCAAAGTGGTGCGGGATGCAGGGACGGACTTGCCAGATGGCAGCTCCAGGTTCCAGGAAGGCAGGCCTTGGATGCTCCGAAGAGGTGGTAGAAAGGTGTTTTTAGAAAGGTGTTTTGGCTGCCTCAGGGTGGTTGGAGAGACTCCAGGAGAGACTGGCAGAGGTGCCTCAGGGGCAGGGAGCAGACAGACCTGCCCTGGGAAGGGGCATTTGGCTTCCCTGAATCCAGCCCAAGGCTAGAAGACAGGGCCCCTCTCCAAGCTGTCAGCGCCCCTCGGATGCCCAGTGTGGTGTGCTGGGCGCCATCAGCATCACAAGGCACTACGCTGCTGGGGCGGTTGTCCTATTTCTGTCTATGCCAGTGTGGTTTCTTCACCCTGCCCAGAAGGGCTGTGGCAGCCCCACGATATCCCACCCTGGGTCTGGGTCTCACGGGTGTCCTGTGAGGGGCTTGCATTTGTGGTGGTCTCTGAGGCCACCTCAGCAACGGAGCTGGCGACACGCCAAGCAACAAGGCATCTTGCGGAAAATTCAGCCAGTGTCCTGCCCCTCCCTTCGGCTCAGCACCCCGCAGGGCACAGGCTGTCCGCCCGGTGGTCTGGCCCTTGGGGAATGCGTCAGGGTGACCAGATCCACCATGCTAGCAGCCAGGTCACTGTTGGGATTGCACGGTCGTCACGAGCTGCCTTTCCTATCCACACACCCAGCCAGGACCCAGCCCACCACTCCCGACTGCAGCCCCGGCCTCTGCGGTGAGCACCATCCTTGGGAAAGCACCCCTCCTCCACTCCGGTGCCCCACTCCAAGGAGCAGAGGGAAATGGGAATTGAGGTGTCCCGGTTTGTACAGTTAGGAAGGGATGTAAAACGGAACTAGATTTTGATTTTGAAGAGTGTATTAACCAGAATTGTGCTATGTAGGTGTTTGTTTGAAGAAAAACATACCAGATTAGTCTTTGTTTTTGAAACAGCTTCCCCAGTTGTCCTTTTTCTTACCAGCTGGGTGGTCTGGTGCCCCTGACAGCTGAGTGCCTGCTTTACGGACACGCAGTAATGCCGAAGATTTGCGGGGGAGGACATAGGGCTGTCCCCGGGATTCACCTGCTGGCTGTGGTCTCTGCCCACTGCTTCTGTCCTTGGAAAGCAGGGCAGGAGGCAGCATCCCCAGGGGCCTCTATGTGGGAGGGAGGGACACCTGGGGTCACAACCCAGGGAGGGAGGGTCACAGCCCAGGGAGGCTGGGAGCTGCTCCAAGGCCCTGGAACTCTGCCTCAGTCGCGGCATGCTGGAGAGGGGTACGGACTTACTTTCTTGGAGTTGTCCCAGGTTGGAATGAGACTGAACTCAAGAAGAGACCCTAAGGGACTGGGGAATGGTTCCTGCCTTCAGGAAAGTGAAAGACGCTTAGGCTGTCAACACTTAAAGGAAGTCCCCTTGAAGCCCAGAGTGGACAGACTAGACCCATTGATGGGGCCACTGGCCATGGTCCGTGGACAAGACATTCCTGTGGGCCATGGCACACCGGGGGGGATCAAAATGTGTACTTGTGGGGTCTCGCCCCTTGCCAAAAGCCAAACCAGTCCCACTCCTGTCATTGGACGTTTCTTCCCATTCCCTCCTCCCAAATGCACTTCCCCTCCTCCCTCTGCCCCCTCCTGTGTTTTGGATTTCTGTTCACTCAGAATTGTAAATGTTTAGTTGTGACCATGACGTATTGTTTGGGTCAATGTCCCTTTCCAATGCATACTAATATATTATGGTTATTATATATGAATATATTTAATGACATGGAAAAAGTTGTGGATTTTCTTTCTTTCCTTTTTTTTGGGGGGGGGTGGGGGGTTGGTTAGAGTTGTAATGGACCCAGATGGAACTTGTAATGTGGGCCCCACATGATAGAACTAAATTCAGATATCATTAAATAAACTCTTGTACACTATGCCGTCTCGCAGTCTTGATTGGTGGCCTGGGCTGTGGGAGGTGGGCGTGTGGGGAGGCAGGGGAAGGATGGAGTTTTCGGGGAGTTTGAGGAATATGGCTTCAGGCCGAAGAACTCCCCTGCAAGTCAGAGCCTGGGTTTTACCCAGAGCCTCAGAGACAGAGCCCTAACTAACTCCCCCGAGAAGGCAGGAGAAGAGCAGTTTTGCTTGGAATGTCCTAGGGCCTTGCTGGCCGTGCTGTTTTGAGCTAAAAGGTTCTCGAATGGGACAGTCTGTATTGCAGGCTGCAGGAAACCACTCCAGGGACCCATCCTTGCCATTCCCTGGAGTTCCAAGACAGAGTGGGGGGAAAGGGGTCCCCTCCCACTTTGCCTTACCTGCAACCCCCGGGTGGGCGGAGAGCCACCTTTGACCCTCCCCATTTGATTCAGAACCTGCAGGTAGTTTCTGACTTTTACATAACTGGCTTCTTCTATGAAAGCCAAGTAGAGACTCAAGAAACTACAGCAGGGTTAGTGAAACTCAAGAGATCTTGCAAAATATTTTTTTTCAAGCGATTGCTAAAGGCTTCGTGCGGTGCAGAGACTGGGCCGGTGCCAGCACCACGCAGCCACCAAGAGCTGAGCTCACTTGGTTTCTGAGAGGCTATATTTAAACCTCCAAATGGTTGTGATTTCTTTATTAAATAAACAATTCAGTCATTAGGAACATATTGTGTTGCCACGCAAAGTGGGGCCGATCATCACTAGGAAGCTATAATTTCTGCACCCAGCTGTTTTGAAGGCAGCCCTCCGCCATGGGCCCCGTCTAGCCCCTCAGCAACGCAGGCTCAACAGGCCCTTCCTTCGAAGGTATGGAAAGCCCCTTCCCTGCTGTGTGGAGAGCTGACTGGAGATGCCATTAGCTTCTGCTCAGGAAGAAATAGGGCCAGCCCTGCTGCCTTGGGGGTCTGGCTCTGCGGATGGGAGCTAGGCTCTCAAGAGCCTGGGGTCAAAGCCAGGGCAGGTACATACGTGAGTGGTCTCCGGGTGTCCCAATCAGTCTCAGGTGTAAGTCTCTGCTGAAATGACAACGCCTGACAGTGGGTGGGCAGGGATGACATCCAGGTCTCAGTTGGCCAGACAGGCTAAGGAGAAAGCAAGCCTATTCCGGGGTCTCAGGTGCTCCCCAGGGCCAGCGGGGCCGCTGGTAGCATTTAAGACCCGCTGAGAGACTGGGCTAAGAGGCCTGTGATGCACTTGAGGCAGCTTCATTCTCAGCTTTGGTCATTTTAGGTCAAGGGTCCAGTTCTTAAGGACTTTCATGATGTGGCTTTTTTTCTGTCCATTTAAAAACAAAAAAAGTGCGTGTCTGAGAGGGCCGCGTTTCCTTGGGACGCCACCACAGTCGGGCCCTGTGAGGGTGGCTGCAGCCCCAGGCCCACGGCCAGAAGGAAGCACACTGTTGCTCAGAGACACATTAGAACATGTACTGTCAACGGCCCCTCTGCCTCCCAGGACCTTATGCTGTAGTTGGGGAGAGAGGGCATCTGCCAAACTCAATGCAGGAAATAAGCTGCGTTGCTGCTAAGGACTGGCCCAAGGTAGTGGGAAAAGCCCATTTTAGAGACGGGAATGCAGAGTCACAAGGAAGCTGGGTGATCACCATCAGGGACCCAGAAGCCAGTGCTATCCAGTAAGAAATGCCTGATGGTGGGTGGGCAGGGACGTCAGAGCCCTGTGGGTGTCAGAGCTTCATGGGGCCTGCCCGGCCACCTGACCTGCCACCAGGGAGGCTCAGTCATTCATAAGGCTCTCCCCTGCCCATTCCCCTCTGCCTCTCAGAGATAGTGATGGCAGAGACAAGTGGCATGGGAGGCCCACTTGTAGCAGACACACCCTTTTCAGATTTTGTTGAACAGACATCTCTTTCTCCACTCTTCTTAAAACTAAATAAAGACATATAAGAAATAGGCCAAGAAAAATGGGGAATGAAAAGAACAACGGAGCCAGTAAGAGATAGAGGATATGGACGGATTACACACCTGCCTTATCAGACTGGAGCCTCAGCGGGACGGCAAGTCATTTCTGGAAAGAGATCAATGTCTTTTGTTATTGACATGTAGTTGGGAGGAAGTCTGTGAAATTGTAGGAAGCAATCGGAGGAAAGATGGATCTTGGCCCCCTTTTTAAAATAAGGGGCAAAAACGCACTTAATTTCAACAGGGCTGAGTTAGAAAATCCAACTAAGAGATGATCCTTAACTAGTCTCTGCTTAAGATACCAGTGTCACTGTGAACCTCAAGAAGCAGGGCATACGATTCTAAGGAGGCTAAGGCACTCTTTCCTGACCTGGAGGAACAATGCGGCTGTTTGGCCAGCCAGCAGTTCTCTCTGACTAGTCAGGAGGGAGCCTCGCAGGTTTTTGTTTTGTTTTGTTTTTTTGAAACGGAGTCTCCCACTGTCGCCCAGGCTGGAGTATAGTGGCACGATCTTGGCTCAGTGCAACCTCTGCCTCCCGGGTTCAAGCGATTCTCCTGCCTCAGCCTCCCGAGTAGCTGGGATTACAGGCGCCTGCCACCATGCCCAGCTAATTTTTTATATTTTTAGTAGACACGGGTTTTCACCATGTTGGCCAGGCTGGTCTCGAACTGCTGGCAGTTTTTGGAGAGGGGCCGTCGGCAACCTGCATCAGCCACGTAGAAGGAGAGTTTCAGGGATCTAGCTCATGGAAAAAGCCCAATCCCAGCCAGGCCGAAGGCTGCAGGCAGCAGAGAAAGAATTTTCCCTATCAAAGTCACAAATGACTGGTGGAGGCCGTGTCTAGGCTGGGGCCCTGCGGGTTTTGAAAGGAGCTGATCGTCTTGGGGCTAATGATAGCTAAGGTTTAGTTACAGTTACTAATAAAAATGAAGTTTAAATGGAACAAAAGTACCAGCTGTACCCAGGTATCTGGATTTCTTTATATGGTATCCAGAGTTAAAATGCTTATAATTAATAATCGGTTAGGTTAAACAGTACTTACACTGTTATTTTAATCACGGTTTATTTTCATTGAAAAAGCACCCGACATGGTGGCTACTAAGGCCCTGCCTTACCTCTCTTCTTTATGCTTGGGGTGAGGGCTTTAGGCTTGCCCAGCCAACTCCAAAGCACTCACTGTGGGTCACCCAGGACTGTGGTCCTGGCAGCTCTGAGGGGGGACAGCCAAGCCTTTCAAACCATGCTGGAAAATGCCACCTTTACATTAGCCACGCTCTCTAGGGTGGCTCTTGAGGCAGCAAATCCCCAAAAGGGACACATCCCAGCCACTTGGGTAATGCTTGCCACTTCTGGCCTGGTTGGGGTGGGGGTCTCATATGTCACCCACCCCTTGAGGAAGGCAAAGGGGAGCCGGGGTTTTCCTACCCGGCCCGTCCCCACCCTGTGTGGCCTGCGCTGCCCCAAGCCTAGACGGCAGGTCCCTGCATTCTAACCTCCTGGGTAGCTTTTTATCCACCCTGCCCTGCCTGTGGGTCCACAGAAATGAAGTAACTTGTCCAGGGTCACACAGCTAGCAGTGCTGGGGTCGGGCCTAGAGCCCATTCAGCCAAAAGAACAGAAGCCGCTGTGTGCAGACATCGGCTCAGTGTTTTGCTTGAAAAGGCCTTTCAGTCTGACTGAGCCAGGACTCCGTGGCTCTGGTTCAAAGACGCCCCACGAGTTGCCGGGGCTCCGTGCTGAGCAAGTCGAGAGGAGGTGAGAAAGTCAAACAGACTGTCAATGCCGCCTCCCCCGAGCCCCAAAGTGGGGGGCTCCCTCCAAGGAGACACTGTTTGTAGAGATTTGGGGTTTCGCACAAGACTGGAAGATGAGGCTCTGCAGATTCTTGATCGTCCGTTGGATGATCCGTTAGCAACCACCCCACCCCGACGAGGAGGCGCATCCCAGGGCGCCTTACCAGAAAGCCCTTGGTCCCCTGTCCAGCGTGGCTCCTCTCCTTCAGGAACACACGCACCTACAACAAGCCCGCTTCCTTTCCTTCTCCTTCCTGTGACAATCCAGGTCCTCGGCAGTATGGCTCATCCTCACTGCTGCCCCTGCTCCTCATCCTCTCAGCCCTTTGCACCTCCTGTCTCGACGCAGCCCGTTTCATTCTTCTAACTCTGCTTCAAGGGCCTCGACATCCCAAGGCTAGCCTGGGTCTGCATGTGTTGGCAGCTTCTCTGGAAGCAGGGATCAGGCTCCATAGAGACAGGAGAGCCCTTGTCCTGGGCCCTGGTTCACGCTCACATCCTCACAACAGTCTGTCCTATTGCACTAGGTGGAAGCATGGGACAGGATCCCCAAGATGTGGACTTGGAGGCATCTGGCCCACTGGGCCTAGACTTGGGTTGGGGAATAAACTTCTTTTTTTCTTTGAGACGGAGTTTTGCTCTTGTTGCCCAGGCTGGAGCGCAATGGTGCGACCTCGGCTCGCCGCAACCTCCGCCTCCTGGGTTCAAGCGATTCTCCTGCCTCAGCCTCCTGAGTAGCTAAGATTACAGGCATGCGCCACCATGCCCAGCTAATTTTGTATTTTTAGTAGAGACGGGGTTTCTCCACATTGGTCAGGCTGGTCTTGAATGCCTGACCTCAGGTGATCTGCCCACCTCAGCCAGAAGGAACTTTCTTTCAGCGGAGCCAAGCAGGGCGCTCTGTGCTTGTGTGTGCCAACTCACTCTGTCCTCGCAGCAACCCTGTGAATAGGAAGGACACCTCATCTCCACGCCCTAGACAAGGGAGCAGAGGCAGAGGAAGGTAACTTGCCCACGGTCTCTGAGCTGGTAAGTGGTGTGGCTGTCATTAGGGCCGTTCACTGCATATTTCAGGCTCTTGGCCTTCCAGACACTTCCTGGTCCCCTCGTGGTGAAGCAGGCCAGGTGATGAGCTCTGGCCAGTGAGCTGTGAGCAGAGGCAATGGGTGTGCTTCTGGGCTGCACGTGTCACTGCTGGCGTGAGAGCTTCCAGAGCTCCCTTGTCCTTTGCCAGAGAGACCATGGTGGCTTTCCCATCTGCCTGGGTCAGAGCTGGGCAGGTGTCTGGGCTCCTAGACCCCAGGTCTTCCCGGGACCCCTGGAGCCCTCAGTCCCTAGGAAATGACATTACACCAGGCTACACGTGGCTCTCTCTCTGGTGTCTCTGTCCACAGGGGGTTTCAGGTCATGCCCTCTTGAGCAAATCCACCAGAAACTCACCTGCTGTGAATCCCCTACCTTCTTCTCAGTGAAATCTTGTGCTTTGGAAATCACCCATCATCAACCCTAATTCTTTCCCCTTTCGTCCTGGAGGGCAGAGCAAGGCCAGCTGGCCTAGCCTGCTTTCCACACGTATAAGAGAGAGCACATGGTGCTTGGCCCCCTGACCCCTGCTAACACGAACTCAGCCATCCATGGGCCTGGCGTCCTCCGCAGGCCTGCCCCATCCGTCTGCCCTTTCTGAGACACACACACGTACACATGCGCTGCGCACACTCAACACACAGGGCTCTGTCGGAGCCAGGTGAGGCGCCACGGTAATCTCATCCCTCTGAACCCTCCACAGTGCTTTCCAGCCCGACCACCTCCTGCCCCACCTGCCTTATTCCACAGACTTGATTCTGGCTGCTTATAAAGATGTGTCAGCCCTGAAAGATGAGAGTTGATTGTCACCAAGGAGATGAAAAAGAATGCGCTTCCAGGGCTAATAGCAGTTCCCACAGGAATATTTTTGTGAAGTGGAGGCTGGCACCCCTAGGAGGAGTGCTGAGCCTGGCGGGGTGACTCGGGTGGGGCAGAGCAGCACGGTGGTGGTTACACACTCAGACACAGGCCTGTGTGGC
The DNA here is from genome assembly GCF_000001405.40 of Homo sapiens. Lineage (NCBI taxonomy): Eukaryota > Metazoa > Chordata > Mammalia > Primates > Hominidae > Homo > Homo sapiens. The sequence continues at coordinate 9,249,819 of NC_000017.11, forward strand.
TCCTCCGCACAGCCCTCACCTCACTCCTTCCCCGCTACCTGGACACACGTGGCCTTGAATATACACCCATTTCCTACACAGACATGTGGCTTCCACAAGCAGGCCAGACGTCAAGGTTTCAAACTGCCTATTAATCCAGTGTCCCCAGGATGCCCAGAGTACTGCGGGGTGGCCAGAACCCACTGGCCACCATGAGGTAGGGGACCCCGAGGGACCTCCGGCCAGCACGAAAATGACCAAAGTCAAAACTCAAAGGGCCACAACTGGGCCCAGTGCTCTAGGCAGCTCTCCAGAGCTCTGAGTCTTTGTTTTTTTGTTTTTTTTTTCTTTGAGACGGAGTCTTGCTCTGGTACCCAGGCTGGAGTGCAGTGGCACAATCTTGGCTCACTGCAACCTCCGTCTCCTGGGTTCAAGCAATTCTCCTGCCTCACCCTCCTGAGTAGCTGCAATTACAGGCACCCGCCACCATGCCCAGCTACTTTTTTTTGTATTTTTAGTAGAGACGGGGTTTCTCCGTGTTGGTCAGGCTGGTCTTGAACTCCCGACCTCAGGTGATCCGCCCGCCGTGGCCTCCCAAAGTGCTGGGATTACAGGCGTGAGCCACCGCGCCCGGCCGGAGCTTTAAGTCTTTACTGAAGCAATGCACAAGAGGTCAGAGCTTTGGGGGAATTTATTGAGAGCAGGTTTTGCGTACCAAAAGGGTGTTGGGCTTGCATCTGTCATTGGCAGGTGTCACTGCTGGTGGTCTCTTTACTGCCATCAGTTGGTCGGCCAGACTGCAACAACCACGATAGCCACAAGCAGCAGTAAAATCACCATGATCATCCCTGGAAAAAAGCAGCAGAAAATACTACTTTTAATGATTCCTACCAGAAAAGCATCACACATTCTGAGTGTCTGCAGAGACTCAGAGGGATGTAGTTCCCTCTGAGCCTTCAGTTTGTACGAAGTGGAGAGAGGTGGTCGGTGGCCTGGGGCGCCGCTGCTGCTACACAGCTCTGGCTTTGCAGGATGCTGAGTGCAGAAGGCAGGGGCCTGGGTGTGGCCAGGCCCCCCCAGGCAGCACTCAAGCCAGGAGGGGGTGAGGCCCCTAACTCTAGCATCTGTGTACACCTTGGACCACAAGGGAGGGCGCAAGCTGCTGACGACAGCCACCCTCACTACCCAATCAGATTATGCATTGATGACGCATTGATAAAGCAAAGGGCTTAGGAGAGCATTCTAGAACCCATTTCTCCATTCTCCACATGGCTTCACTTTGTGTTCTTGAGTCCAAGATCCTTAAGTCACCCATTTGTAAAAATATTCACCGATAGAGGTGCTTGTTTTGATATATACTTTTTCTGCTAGTATTTGCTAGTTTCATTTCCTGACGTTTTTGGCTGGAGAGCACAGGCCCTCCTAGCCAGCCCATGCTGGGTGCCACTCTGCCTTCCAGCCCCGCCCTGCCTCCTCTGGGTCGTGTGTCTGCACTGACCATTGCCTGTTCCTTCACCTGATGCTGATGAAGTGGGCCCCACAGAATGCAGCCCTCACTTAGTGCAATGAGCTCACTGTCTCCCATGTTCGCTTGCCCAGTATTTAACGAGTGTTTACCACGTGCCAGGTACCAGCGGCGACAAGGTATAGCATAACAGAGAAGGGGCGCCCTACTACAAAGTAAGCACTCAAGAAAGGTTTGCTCACTGAAGAGTCCTTGAGCTGCCAAGGCCCCACGAGAGAGGTGGGTAGCAGAGGAGGAGAGGTCCATGAAAATGCTTCAGAAAGTAACAGGGAGAGCCACGTGTGCAGGGTCACATGGTTGCACAGCCATCAGGACTGCTGAACGCCACGGTAGTCTGTGGCATATGTTCGTGAGCAAAGAAAATGCTAAATTTCAATTAGACATTTGTGAACATAAGAGTCCAATTTGCTTTCCGGTCCAAGTTCACGGGCTTCCCGAATCCCCTCCACAGATCCTCAGGGTTCAATGTGGATCAGGCCATACCAATCTTAAGCTCAACCCATGTGGGCACTGCACCATGGTTTTGAATATTGAAGAGACTTAAAAATGTATGGCAAGTGGCTGGGTGCAGTGGCTCACACCTGTAATCCCAGCACTTTGGGAGGCCAAGGCGGGCGGATCATCTGAGGTCAGGAGTTCGAGACCAGCCTGACCAACATGGTGAAACCCCATCTCTATTAAAAATATATTTAAAAAAATAGGCCGGGCACGGTGCCTCATGCCTGTAATCCCAGCACTTTGGGAGGCCGAGGCGGGCAGATCATCTGAGGTCAGGAGTTCGAGACCAGCCTGGCTAACATGGTGAAACCCCGTCTCTACTAAAAATATATTTAAAAAATTGGCCGGGCGCAGTGGCTCACGCCTGTAATCCCAGCACTTTGGGAGGCCGAGGCGGGCGGACCATGAGGTCAGGAGATCGAGACCATCCTGGCTAACATGGTGAAACCCCATCTCTACTAAAAGTACAAAAAATTAGCCTGGCGTGGTGGCAGGCGCCTGTAGTCCCACCTACTTGGGAGGCTGAGGCAGGAGAATGGCGTGAACCCGGGAGGCGGAGCTTGCAGTGAGCCGAGATTGCGCCACTGCACTCCAAACTGGGCAACAGAGCAAGACTCTGTCTCAAAAAAAAAAAAAATATTAGCCAGGTGTGGTGGTGGGTGCCTGTAATCCCAGCTACTTGGGAGGCTAAGGCAAGAGAATCGTTTGAACACGGGAGGCGGAGGTTGCAGTGAGCTGAGATCACACCACTGCAATACAGCCTGTGCAACAACAGTGAAACTCTGTCTCAAAAAAAAAAAAAAAAGAAAACGAAAATAAAAAAAAAAACTAGGGCAAGCTTCTTTGTCATCTACCTGTGACTGTGGTTGCATTTTTCTGATATGGGCTCTTTCTCTGATGATCCAATCTTTTGAGAAACGCTTCTCTTGGGGCCCCAAGGTTTCTCCCCCGTCTTCCTGTAGATGAAAACCTCATCCTAGTCTACCTCAAGGCTCTGCCAACTTTGGTTCATGGGCCAAATCTAGCTGTGCTCTGTTTTTGTGCAACCCATGAGCTAACAATGGTTTTTATATTTGTAGAGGGTTGTCAAAAAGGTAAAAGGAGGAGATGTGACACCGTCTGTGGTCTGCACAGCCTAAACCGTTTACGACCTGGCCTCTTCCAGAGGCTTGCTAGCTCCTGCTCTCCATCATCATGATGATGACCCACCTGCAGCATCAGTTCGCCCACTTAGGCGCTGGCCTTCAATGCGCTCTTCATTTCTTTCATCTAGGGATTTCCTTTCTTCCTTGTAAATTCAGCCCTGCATTAACATTTGTGGGTGGGTGGAGTTACACTATTTTACCTCACATTTCAAGATGCTTGCAGCAAGAAGGCAGGGGTAGGGGTGTGTGTGTGTGTGTGTGTGTGTGTGTGTGTGTGTGAATATCTTAGTCCATCTGCAGTGAGAAGGTAGGGATACGGGTGTGTGTGTGTATGCGTATGTGTGTGTATGTGAGAATATCTTAGTCCATCTTCTTGCCAGAAGCAGAAGAACAAATCTTTTCACTGATTTCTGCTCCAGAAACATCTTCAGGTTGACCAAAAGCTCCCCTGGGCAGGAGCTTCACTAGTTCTTGGTTATTCTGGTGCCTGTGTGGTGATCAGCTGAAGACTTGGTCCTGGCTGGGTGAAGGTTTATGTTGCGCAACATGAGGAGAAGATAACGAGAATGAGGAGGCAGGCACAGGCTGGGATGGGGCGAAGGGGCAATCCCTGGCACTCCAGGGCCTGGGCTCACCCTAAGATGACAGGGAGGGGCTGGCAGCTGAGGAGATGAGGGAGAGGATGAGAGGTGTTTTAGGAAGAGGTACTGCTCCTGAAGCTCCAGTGGGATCACAGTTGGGAGGACACTTGGGCCCAGAAGCTCCATGCATCAAGGCAGGCTCCACACTGAGGCTCTGATGGCCTGGAGCAGAGGCCAGTATGAATGACCGTGAATTGTCAAATCAGGGTGATTATGAGAAGAGCGGAGCAAGTGACAAGAACAAAGAAATCAAGAACAACAACTGATTGGGAAGAAGAAAACACACATCTGGTTTTGGTTCATACACCCGGAGCGTGAGGTCCAAGGGAAGAGGCCTCAAGGCATGCGCAGTCACTGCCATCCCTGATTTGGCTCCCTGCAGTGAGGGACTGCTTTCCCCGGTCCCTGCTCCACGATGGAACTACAGCAAGCTTTTCAGAATGTAAAGGAGATCAGGTCACCTCCTTGCTTAAATCCTCCAGTGGCTGAAACTGAGATCCAAACTTTACAGTGGCCAAGGGGGTCTTGCACAGTCTGACCCAGCAACCCTGCAGCCGCACTCTGCGCGCTGTGTTTGAGCCATCCTGGCTGTCTCCGGTGCCCCCAACAGGCTGATGCAGAAGGTAGGGGCCCTGCCTCCCAGCTTCGACACGCGCTATCCTTTCCATCCGGGAGCTCCCCACTCGTGGTCTAGTTAATCCCTCAAACTCAGTGGCATTTTCCCAAAGAACTCTTTGTCATCCTCCAGTTACCTGTGCCCTCTTTGCCCCCCTAAGTTTCCATGGTAACTCTTATTAAATCTTTTTTTTTTTTGAGATGGAGTCTCGCGCCCAGGCTAGAGTGCGGTGACGTGATCTTGGCTCACTGCAGCCTCCGCCTCCTGGGTTCAAGCAATTCTCCTGCTTTAGCCTCCCAAGTAGCGGGGATTACAGGTGCCCACCACTATGCCCGGCTAATTTTTGTATTTTTAGTAGAGACAGGGTTTCACCATGTTGGCCAGGCTGGTCTCGAACTCCTGACCTCAAGTGATTTGCCCTCCTGGGCCTCCCAAAGTGCTGGGATTACAGGCGTGAGCCACCGCGCCCGGCCTTGAATCATTATTTAGGTACTCAGTTACTGTCTGTCTCTCCTGGACACATGAACATCTACACCAGGGACTGTGGGTTCTCGTTCACCGCCATATCCCCCGTACCTAGAACAGAGCCTGGCACAGGAAAGAGGCACACACACACGCGCACGTGTGTGCATGTGTGTGTGTGTGTATAAAACAAATGAGTAAATGTATTGAATTTTTGGAAGGGATAAGAAGAGTCAAGAGAGGCATAGAAGGAGTGGTCAGCAGAGAGGGAGAAGCTGAGAAAATGTGGCAAGAAGGCCAATGAGTAAGAAAATTCAAAAAGTGGCCAATGCCAACCCACAATACTACAGAGACAAGATAGAAGAATGCTCTTCCACAGAAGAGCTGCAGAGACCTTTCATAGTACAGTTTTAGCGCATGGTGGGTGGGTCTAGTGGAACTATTATTAATACAGTGGTGGCTAAGCTGCTAATTTTTCTACCACAGATGCTGTGAATTAGACAAACTGTGCCCCAGGAAAGGCATGACAGGGCACACATTATCTATAAAAAATGAAAATGGGCCAGGCGCTGTGGCTCACGCCTGTAATCCCAGCACTTTGGGAGGCCAAGGCGGGCGGATCATCTGAGGTCAGGAGTTTGAGACCAGCCTGGCCAACACAGAGAAACCACGTCTCTACTAAAAATACAAAAATTAACCGGGCATGGTGGTGCACGCTTGTAGTCCCAGCTACTTGGGAGGCTGAGGCAGGAGAATCACTTGAACTCGGGAGGCGGAGGTTGTGGTGAACTGAGATTGTGCCACTGCACTCCAGCCTGGGCAACAGAGCAAGACTCCATCTCAAAATAAATAAATAAATAAATAAATAAATATATAAATAAATAAATAAATAAATAAATAAATGAAAATGAACTTGAGTGATGGACATCTTGGACAGTAAGCTGATAAGATGTGATAAACTGGGTTCTTGTCCCAAGATGAAAAGGAGGATTTTAGGAGCCATGACAAATAAGGCTTTTATATTTTAAACCCTTTCAGAGCAAACAGGGGGAGACTTTAAACAGGCTTAAGTAAACTGGTATATACTGAGGGTCAACTGAGGAGGTCGTTTTAAGATGGCAGGTGACAGCGATAAGCAAAAGCCAACTGCTGTCTTTTGGATTCTTTGGGTCAAAGAGAAGGTGTTTATCTACCTTAGCACGGCAATCCTTTTTCTTTAAGAAGTTTGGCTTTCTTCGAATGTGATCCCAGCTCTGGCACCTTTCTGAATGGAGTTTCTCTCCTCTGAAGGATGTTTCGGAATGAGTAAGCAGGGATCTTTTTGAAGCCAGGGAAAGCTGAGCCACACCGTTCATGAAACAGTCATGCGTGCCAGGTTTGGCACTAAGTGCTATGGGTGTATTACTTGGTTTAATTCTGCACAGTAAGTAACCCTCATCTCTGTTTTATATCTGAGGAAGCTGGGGTTCTGGAAGGTGAACTCTCCTACCTAAGGCCCTCTGGCGGGTAAGAGGAAGAACTAGAATTGGAATCCAGGTGGGTAGGACCCCTCTGCCCACACGCTCACCCTTGTCTACACCAGTGGAGCTTGAGTGGAGGCATCCTGATTCGAGACAGTGTGGGGGTCCCTCGGGGAGAGAGGCTCAGACTCACTGGGGTTGAAACACCGGGATCAAGAGTTTCTTCTCTTTTCATCCTCTTCTCTTTCTCCCTCCCTCCTTCCCTTCCTTAACGTTTTATGATGGAAAATTTTAAACATATACAAAAGCAGACCGAAGGGCACGCAGAACAGTGATGAGCCCATCCGTCAGCTTTCGCAAGGATCCATTCATGGCCTGTCTGGCTTTATGCAAACCCTCACCTGCTCCCTGTCTCCTGCATATTATTTTGAAACAAATTCCAGACATAGGTCATCTACAAATATTTCAGTAAGTATCACTAAAAGGCACCATTAAAAAGACACACACACTCCCCCACTACCCACATAACCACAGAGGGTCTGACGGTTCCTAAAGGCAGAGGCAGGGAAGAGCTGGCAACTCTTCTGATGTAGGAAGGTGGCTCCAGTTTCAGGGGCGCAGCCGACCCCCCTGCCGGAGGGACATGGGACCTCACATCGTACTCGGTCACGTGTGAAAAGCAGAACTTCCTTCTTCTGCCTCAGAATAGTTCTTAAACCTCAGGGGGGTCTACTCATCCATTCCCCCAGCTAAGGAAATGTTTGACATTTCAGAACAAGGAAAGACAGTTGAACTTCTGGGAGGCTGCCAACTTCTTAAACAATGAATGCTCTCTGCCCCCAACCCTAGCACAGAACACCTGCTGCGGCTCCTGACTTCGGGATCGTTTCTCTGCGCTTCACTCAGCTCCTGCCCTGGGCCCGCTGGCACCTGGCGAGGCAGATTTTCCCTTCCAATACTCAAGAGTCCCTTTCAGGGGCAGGCATGGGATGCCAGGGTTACAAGAGTGGAAAAAAATGTCCATTTCCTTTGGTCAGTTTACCAGATGAGTATTACTCAACCACTTACAATATTTACAAGTCCAGCTCATGGCAATTAAAAAAAGATGTAAGAAAACAAACTCCTTTTCAAACTGGGAGAGGATATTAAACACAGTCTCTCAGGAATGGTGTTTTCTGAAGACTCGTCATCTGGAGTCATGGTCCATACTTTTTTCCAGTGAAACACTGGAAACGAGCAAAATACGGAGCTTGTGCTGCCAACGCCCCTGCCACAAGTTGGGTGTAGGTAACAGCTCTCAGTGCTTACTGACATGGAGGAGGAGGGGAAGGAGGAGAAAGAATCTGGAGGCTGACTTTTCGAGAGAGTGTGGATCTCTGTGTTGGCCACTTCTGCCCTGTAGCTGCAGGGGAACGTGGCAAGTAGGCTGATGGGAAAGCAAGAGGCAGGGAGGGGTGAAGGGCGCTTTATCCAGGAGTCTTTTTATCTGGTTTTGTTGCAAGGAAAGCCGCCTTAGCTGCCTACTACTATTTTGGTTGTCTTGAACCAAAACACATATTCTGGCCAGGCGTGGTGACTTATGCCTGTAACCCCAGCACTTTGGGAGGCCAAGGCGAGTGGATCACCTGAGGTCAGGAGATTGAGACCAGCCTGGCCAGCATGGCCAAACCCCGTCTCTACTAAAAAATGCAAAAATTAGCCGGGCGTGATGGCAGGTGCCTGTAATCCCAGCTACTTGGGAGGCTGAGGCTGGAGAATCACTTGAACCCGGGAGGAGGAGGTTGCGGTGAGCTGAGATTGCGCCACTGCACTCCAACCTGGGTGACAGAGCGAGATTTTGTTTAAAACAAAAACAAAAACAAAAAAAGCATATTCTTTTTGTTTGCCTCGCTTTTCACACCAGAAGAGTTAGGCCAACTGGCAACCCACACGTAGCTACTAAACTTAAAGATGAACAGAGGACACTTCTTAGGGACAATTCCTAAAGTTTGTTTTATTTTTTTGGCAGTTGTGCCTGTCAATAGGTGACATTTGCTTATGTATTAACCAGTGATCAGTCTCACTGTTCAAACAGACTTTTCACGGCAGACTCCTGAGCTGAGGTGGGGAATAAGCAGGAGAAGAGACAAAACTGGAATATTTATCTTCAAAAGTTCATGTAAATGTTCCCTTTAATCCCACGACTGGGCAAATACACGAAGAAAAGAGTAGACGCCGTGCAGAGAAGGTGAGCGTATTTACATTCTGATTTCCAGATTGAGAGGCTGGAGAATGGTGGCTATGCTTGAGGTCTCTGCCCAGACCTGCCCACTCCAGGGGCTGTGTGTGCTCTGCTGGGGGACCCAGAGTGTGACACTAGCAGCCTTCCTACAGCCGCTGCTCAGCTGCGCCAGGGGAAACCAGGCACTGGGGGTGTGGAGAGGAGGACCTACCTGCCTCTGATCACACCCCTCTTGAATCTATCTTACCCCACAGTTCTACATTTTAATTTCCGCCGAATAATGCTTTCATTAAAACACTGGGCAAAAGTCATCTCTGGTTTTCTGAGTTTGTTTTGTTCTTAGCCTGGCATCCAACTCAACTCTGCAGGTTTTTCTTTCTCTGTATTGTGGGCCAGGCTTCCTCTGTGGCTCCAGGGGGTTGCATCTGACTCATCAATGGAGTCTCTGCCCGCTCCCCTCTGAGTGTAGCCTCAGCCCATTTTCCACCCGCCCCAGGGCAGGGCCGAAGCCTTGAAGGCTCATCCTCTGTATTTCATGTCCTCCATGAAGACTGCTCAGCCCGTACACAGCCAGCTTGTCCTGGAATCCGAGGGTATCTGCAGCAAGGCCATTGCTCTTAAATGACTCCCTTCCACCTTTGGTTCTTTTTTTATTAATAATTCCTTCCTCAGGCCATAGAATCTCCAAAAACAGATCAATGCAGTCTGGTGCGGTGGAAGGGGTACTGATTTTACAGTCAAGAAGACCTGACTTCTAATCTGCCACTGGTATACTATGACACGTTGGGAAAGTTTAACTCTGGAGCTCAGTTCTACCATCTCTGAAACAAGACTGAAAAATCCTGACTTCACAGGCTTGTTGTGAGGATTTCGGAAGATACAGTACATGAAACTTCTAGAACATAACTGGCACTCAATAAATGGTAACTCTCCCAACAATAATTATTACTCCTCGTAATAATTACACCCTGCCTGAAACGGGTGCCTAGTGGTCGCAGGTGCTCCGTAAATGTCCTGCAACAGAGCCAGTCTCTCAGCTTAACAACAGAAATCAAATGTCACTCTCTCCAAAAGAGAAGGAAGAGTAGCAAAAACAGAGGAACACCTGGGTGGCATTTAGTGTAGAAACAGAGGGAGCAATTCTCTCCGAGGCCCGGCGGTGATGAGGGCGTCCGGGAAAGGTTGGAAGTTCAGGGTGGAATGTCTGGCAGCCTCTGTGTCAGTTATTAGCTACAGGAAGGGCAGCTGTGCTGGGCGGAATGCTGGCGGCGGTCAGCAGGCAGGCAGAACACAGCCAAGTGGACACCAGGTGAGAGGAACTGTGAAAGGCCCAGACTTTTTAAAAGCCAGTGAGGAAGTGGAGGTCAGAGCAGGGGTCACAGGACGGGGTCACAGGCAGGAGGAGGAGAAGGTTAAAGCAAACCACAAGGAGCACCCGACTTTATAACACATTCAGCTACGCGGGAGAAAAGGTGGAGAGGAACCCAGGGGCCCCTAGGGGAGCCTGTGCGTCTGGCCATGCTGCATAAATAACAATAATAATAATGACGATGAAAATAATAGTCATAGTGTCCGGGCATGGTGGCTAACGCCTGTAATCCCAGCACTTTGGGAGGTCACGGCGGGTGGATTGCATGAGCCCAGGAGTTCAAGACTAGCCCGGGCAACATGGTGGAAACCTGTCTCTAATTTAAATTTTAAAAAAGAAAAAGAATAATATTAATAGTAGTAGTGTCACAAGAACAGAAGTCAAGAATAAAGCCTGGGCAACAATGCGAGATCCCACCTCTACAAAGAGTATTTTTAAATTAGCTGGCTGTGGTGATGTGTGGCTGTAATCCCAGCTACTCGGGAGGCTGTGGTGGGAGGACTGCTGGAGCCCAGGAGTTCGAGGCTGCAGTGAGCTGTGATTGCACCACTGCACCTCAGCCTGGGTGACAGAGTGAGACCCTGTCTCTTAAAAGAAAAGTCAAGAAGGCCGGGCGCGGTGGCTCACACCTGTAATCCCAGCAATTTGGGAGGCCAAGGCGGGCGGATCCCCTGAGGCCGGGAGTTTGAGACCAGCCGGGCCAACATGGTGAAACCCTGTCTCTACTAAAAATACAAAAATTAGCCAGGCGTGGTGGTGCACGCCTGTAATCCCACCTACTCAGGAGGCTGAGGCAGGAAAATTGCTTCAACTCGGGAGGCGGAGGTTGCAGTGAGCCGAGATCGTGCCACTGCACTCTAGCCTGGGCAACAGAGTGAGACTCCGTCTCAGAAAAACAAACAAACAAACAAACAAACAAACAACTGTGGTCTTTTGGGGTGGCTCTTTAGAGTGGCCAGGCCAGTGTCCCCCATGTGCCTGGGTGGGTTTGTGCTGAGGCAACACTGGGAAGAGAGAGGCACCTGGCACCCTCCTCACCCTGGAAACTCAGCCCTCTCCCCAGAAGGCCAGGCCCCTACCTGGAGAGAATTCACTCCCAGCCTGAGCTGGTGCCCAGCACCGGGCTGATGAGGCACTGCTCTGCAGGAACACAGAAACGTGGAAAGAATCAACTGGAAAGAAGGCAGCAACTGTCGGAAAAGAGAACGGTGTGAAGAGAGACATCTGGGGGCCAGAGGGAGCAAGAGAATCAGGAGAAGGTGGCCTGGAAGGGGTGGGGGTTGGGATGAGAGAAAAAAAGGACTGGTCTAGAAGCAGGAAATTAAAAGGAATGAAGACTGCAGGTGACGGGGCAGAGAGCTGGACGGCAGCCTAGTGAAAGGCAGGTTCCTGGGATCTGGGGTCTAGGATCCAGGCATGAGCACCTGGCTGGGCGTCAGGTGGCCGTGGAGCAGCAGTCACGGCCACAGGACTCTGGTGAGGCCGCCGCTTGGTCAGTGGAGACCGCATGTGAGACCTCACGGCCCGGCCAGGGCGAGTCAGGTCAGAGTGGCTGGTGAGGCTGTCCCAGTGCTGAATAGCAGCACTGCCCTGGTAAGATTTACCCAAGAGACTTAGACTCACCCACACTAGAACTGATCTCTTATCTGTTGAGTGCCTACTGTGTGTCGGGTCCAATGGGTGCAAAGACGTATACCTGGCTCTTCCTGGGTCTGCGGGTCTCATGAGAAAGGCAGAAAAATCAACCCTATCTCTACCCACGCCCAACACAAACACGAAACTCTGCAGATGATAGCCGTTCCTTAGAGGGAGTGTGTAAAAACTCTGCCGCTATTGTCGCTTCCTGCACAGAAAGTGCTGAATAGTTTGTAGGCCCCATCTGTGTTCTTAAGGTGTTATTCATTTCCCTTCCCTGAAATAAGCTCAGCTCAGCAACTGCCACAAGTCAAGGGCAGAATTCAATTGTAAATAGATAATCCTTCATATCAGCCACCAAGAGCAGCAGGTTAGGAGTTGTCAAGCCAATAATTTAATGCCAATTCTCTGGCACGTCAATATTTGCTAAGAAATATCCCTTCATTGTGCTGTGTGTTACCCCTGGGAATGTGAATCTGTCTGGAGTCTGGCAGAAATTCAAGTGTCTTTGAAAAGACAGTCAGGAACTCTGTTACGGATATCTTGTTTTGACAATTCCCTCTTGACTGTCGGAAGATTCCTGCAAGGTTCCAGTCAGGCTGTGGATTCGGCATTACAAACCCCTCCGTTTGTCCTATTTGGATACTTTACCTGGCACCAATTAGGGACACCTGGCAGGGCGACACCAGGGTATTACTACCAAAGTTCTACAAAGGCAGGGCAGAGAGGCATCGCTGCTACCATAAGGCTTTGTCAATACACCAAATGCTTATCTCATTTGTTAAAAGGAAATCATTTGACCAACACGCAAAAGACTATGGGGTAGATCTGAATTGAGCCCTGCGTTCCATACATCGAAACAACATATTCCTGGGGTGGCCCAGTAGCCGTGTCTGTTCAACTTAACCCTGCCTCCATACGCACAGCTGATGCAACAGACCTCAAGTGAGGCCAACAAGGTTCTCTTCTCCAGGGATTTTGGATTTTGAACTGAGCACAATTGGGGTTCAGTCACAGTAATGGTAACACTCGAGGGGTGGGCCACAAACTTAGCTCGGGAGGTCCCAGGCCCTGCCTTTGCTCAGACTTGTCTTTATACTTGGTTGGCTCAATCATCCCTCGGGTTCCTGCAAATAACTCAACATCACTCAAATAAATTACATGTTTTTTGTTTCTTTGTTTTTTGGTGTTTTTTGTTTTTTTTGTTTTGTTTTGTTTTTTTGTTTTTTTTGAGACAGAGTCTTGCTCTGTCGCCAGGCTAGAGTGCAGTGGCGAGATCTCGGCTCACTGCAGCCTCCGCCTCCCAGGTTCAAGCAATTCTCCTGCCTCAGCCTCCCGAGTAGCTGGGACTACAGGTGCGTGCCAACATGCCCGGCTAATTTTTGTATTTTTAGTAGACACAGGGTTTCACCATGTTGGCCAGGATGGTCTTGATCTCCAGATCTTGTGATCCACCTGCCTCCCAAAGTGGTAGGATACAGGCATGAGCCACCACGCTCGGCCACAAATTACATGTTTTTTAACCTAAACGAGCCAAAGTCATCTCTGCTTATTTGCAACCAAGATCTTTTAGCAGAGTGATCAGCAAAAATCACCAGTTGTGTCTAGTTAATTGGAAAAACATAAAAGTCATATTAGCATGCTTTTGCTTTACTACTTTAGTCTTGAAAGGATAGTCCCAAGATGTTGCCTCTGAGGACACCCCGTCTGGGTTGCATCTCCTTACTCTGAAGGGGCTAAAGTCCCAACAGAAATATCTGTTGACTGCACTCCAGCCTGGGTGACAGAGTGAGATCCTGTCTCTAAAAAATAAGCAAAAAGGGACGGGTGCGTGCGGTGGCTCACACCTGTAATCCCAGCACTTTGGGAGGCTGAGGAGGGTGGATTACCTGAGGTCGGGAGTTCGAGACCAGCCTGACCAAAATGGAGAAACCCCATCCTCTACTAAAAATACAAAAAAATTAGCCGGGCATGGTGGCACATGCCTGTAATCCCAGCTACTTGGGAGGCTGAGGCAGGAGATCGCTTGAACCTGGGAGGCGGAGGTTGCAGTGAGCCGAGATCGCGCCATTGCACTCCAGCCTGGGTAACAAGAATGAAACTCCGTCTCATATGGAATTCTAATATAAGTAGTATCTAATGACTAGCTTTTTTCACTTAATTTGTCTTAAATGTCTTTCACAGAGACCTACCTTTAATCTTTTTAGTGGCTGCAGACTATTTTATACCTTAATTTGTTCAAAAGATACCCTGTTACTAGACTTTGAGGTTATTTCAAAATTTTTGCTATGAAAAGGAATGCTGCAGTAAACATCTTTGAACATAAACCTTTGTGCACGTGTACACGAATTTCTGTAGGATAGATTCCTACATATGGAATCCTGGGGCAAAGAGTATGTGCATTTTTTATTTTGATAGTCTCGCTAATTGTATTTTCTGACGGCATTTCTCTCTCCCAAACCACATACTCTTCATATGATGTGACTTTGACATTGCTCTCATCAAGAGGTAGGACCTGGGTCCCCTCCCCTTGAACCTGATAAGCCCTTTGTGACTACCTCACCAACAGAATATGGCAGAAGTGACACTCTGTGACTTTCGACTCTGGGTCATAAAGATTACACACCCTTCCACCTTGCTCCTTCAGGATAGTCACCATGTGAGTAGTTCAACTGCTAGAAGGCTGCCATGCTGCAAGGAAGCCCAATTAGTCCAAATGGAGAGACCACATGGAAGGACCCTGAGATCATGAGAAGACAGAGAAAAGAGATGCCCAGCCAGCCCCACTGGGTTCCAGCTTCACCACTATACTGACTATATTACAACTGCATGAAAATCTTCAGCCAGAGCCAGGCAGCAGAGCCCTTTTCAAATTCCTAACCCACAGAATTGTGAAGTGTAGCAAAACAATTGTTTTACATTGCCAAATTTGGGGTGATCTTTTACCTTTTTTGAGACAGGGTCTTACTCTGTCGCCCAGGCTGGAGTGCAGTGGCATGGTCACGGCTCACTGTAGCCTCCACCTTCTGAGCTCAAGTGATCCCCCCACGTCAGCCTCCTGAGAAGATGGGACCACATGTGCATGCCACCATACTTGGATAATTTTTAAATTTTGTGTAGAGATGAGGTCTCCCTGTGTTCCCAGGGCTGGTCTCAAACTCCTGGGCTCAAGCAATCCTCCCTCCTCGACCTCCCAAAGTTCTGTGATTACAGGCATGAGCCACTGCACCCAGCCTGATTTTTTAAACACAGCAATAGATAACCAGAATGGGTAGGTTCTGCCAAACTGCAAACAACAATTCTCAGTAGTAATATAAGAACAAGAAGGCAAATCCTTTTCTGGGCATTTCTAGTGAACTAGTAATGCTTCATGTGGTTTTAAATTTTCAAGTAGAAAAAGCATTTAAAACAATATGCATATATCATAGTAACTTCGGAAAGTAAAGAAGATGAGAAAAGAAAGGCCAGGTGCAGTGGCTCACGCCTGTAATCCCAGTACTTTGGGAGGCTGAGGTGGGAGGATCTCTTGGGCCCAGGAGTTTGAGACCAGCCTAGGCTCCATAGGGAGACCTCATCTCTACAAAAAAAATAAGAATAAAATTACCTAGGTGTGATGGCACACACCTGTGGTCCCAGGTACTCAGGAGGCTAAGGTGGGAGGATCACTTGAGTTCAGGAGGTAGAGGTTACAGTGAGCCATGATTGTGCCACTGCACTCCAGCCTGGGTGAGAGAACAAGACCCAGTCTGAAAAGAAAAAAAAAAAAAAAAAAAAGCTGTCACCTTCCCAAATTCCAAACTTTTCTCTTTCACGGTCACATATCCTATTATTTTACAAGCAATCTTTGATTAATACTATAGATGTCCTAAAGAGTCAAAGTGAATATGAGATGGGCTCCAGTTCCAGGGCAAGAGGTTTCTGGGGCCCAGATTGGGGCAGGAGAGCTCACCCTCTTGAAACAAAGCTAACAAGAACACTCTGGATGGGGCACGCTAGTCGCTTAGAGCCTTCCCACTGGGGATCCCTCCTTTCCTGGGCACACTGTGTATGGGCCCACTGGGGGCCTGGCTCAGGCAGGTCCCGGGCAAATGCACATTGCCCCTGCCACCACAGTGCTTCTAACAAGAGCCATGCCCGGCACCATTACTGGCGCTAGGCACTTGCTATCCACTTTGTATACATTATATACGTTACACATTGAGCAGCTCAATACACGTTTACTCAACAAATGAAACAGAAGGTCCTCACTCCTGACGTGGTTGGGAAAGCAGAAATAACACTGATATCCTCTGTGTCCTGCATCTCTGTTGTGGCTTTTGATTTAACACATGTTGCCTGAGCACCTGCCAGGCACTGTTCTAGGCACTGGGGCTGCAACAATGAACCAAACAGACAAAAAGCTCTGCCCTCACCAAACTGACGTCCTAGTGTGTGTTTGTTGGGGGCGCTGGAGGGGGGCTTCAGTGTGTGAAGACAGACAAAAACCCAGATCAGTAACTAATGTAGTGGACTAGAAGGCGGTAAGTGCTAGAAAGAAAATCCAGCTCCTCTTCCCCTATTGCTTATCATACGGGGTGGCTGAAAGGCACACACCCCCTTTCCCTCGAGTCCTAGGGATACCAGGGAGGGAGTGCTGATATGGTCCATAAACCAGACATCCTAGAGTGGGATTTGGAAACATTGCGGGTAAGACTAGGGTGCCTTCCTACACGCCATCAGGAAACTGCCATCCTTAAACGTTAATAAGATGTAGGCTTAGAAATAACACATTACAAAAGTTGGTTGGAATGAAGGGTGACGTAATGACAACTGGAAACACAGAGGGGTGTTATTATGGAGTGGAGAAAAAGGAGATTGGAGAGGAAGAAGTTGGCAGTGGGTGCCAGCACTTTCCAGAACAGGGGTGCCCCAGCCAGCGCACCGGAGCCTGCTTGGTCTGTGAGGACATGGGGTCCTTTCTGAAGTGAGAAGCAGTGAGCCACCTCCTGGACAGCAGCTCTTCCTCAGATGGCCCTTCTGGACTATTCTATGCCCAGATGAGAAGTGTGCTTCTGAAACTGATGACGCTTGCCTGTATTAGCGGCCGTTTTACTTCAGCGCCGTGCTGGCTGAGAGCTGCAAAGTGTTGGCCACCAGCTGGTGGCTGAAATCAAGAGGAAGCCAGGTCACGGTGGTGGAAGTAGGATGAAATAGTAGACACACGATGTCACCAAGAGTGTAGAAGAATTCAGGTAAATGCATTTCCAGTAAGGTGGGATCACTAGTGCCGCTTCTGGTGCTCTGGGTGGAGAGCCACTCTGTCATCCTGGAGGCTACTTTGGCCCCCAACTCATCTCCACATTCCTCTGGCCTCCAAGGTGACATGGACTATATATAACCAAGGGCCACGGTGGGGAGGGCAGAAGAAATATGACTGTTTAAGGGCAGTGGGAGAAAAGAAAAATAAGGGGCTGATGAGAGAGCGGCCAGACGTGGGCCTTTTGCTTTCAGCCAAGTCTTTTCCCAAGTAACCACAACATTTGTCATAGTTATTCAGTGTGGCTCTGAAGCCTGTCCCCTTTGTCGGGGCAGAAAAAATGGGCTCTCCTGTGTTCAAAAGGTCATCTCTACTTTCAAGTGGTCAACATTCCGCAGTCTGAAGCTCCCTGGCCCACTAGCTTCCAGTACTGTGTGTCACTTCCCACGTATGCGGCAAAATGACAGAGTGTGTGAAAGGGTGAACGCGTGTGTGAGTTCAGGGTTTCCCTCTTTGGAAGCTGTATGGCATAAGAGCTGAAACACCATGGGCTGCGAGGGCAGACTGCACGTGTTCAGACCATGGCACTGTCATTTGAGTAAGGGACCCAATCCTCTATGCCGAAAAGTGGGAGAATAATAACCCTCCACTCTCAGAGCCATCATGGAGACAAAAAGAGAGAAAATGCTGAGTGCCAAGCATACTACCCGGCTTATGGTACCTTCTCAACTGAGATTAGCTACTAGTCTCACCTGCTGGAAATTGTTCTTGCTACCAACGTGGCATTCCTGATCTCCAATCTTTGGATAGAAAGCGCTATGACCCTTCCCCATGTGTGATGGCCTTCAGTGCTCAATGCTGCCCATATCCCCCGTGTTGTGTGACACCACAGCACGAGTGAGACCTCTGAGCTGAACGCAGCAGCCTCCTGCCATCGGGCGCAACTACTCTCAGTACAACCAAACATGGCTGCCAGGCTTTTCTTGAAAACCTTCTCTAGCTCACTCTACAGACTCTATCATGAAAACAGACTTTGAGATTTATGCACTCAAAAAATCCTCCAACAGCCTGTATACCTATATGTATAAAAATGCTTAAATTCACCAGGCACAGTGGCTCATGCCTGTAATCCCAGCACTTTGGGAGCCAGAGGCAGGTGGATCATCTGAGGTCAGGAGTTCAAGACCAGCATGGCCAACATGGTGAAATCCCATCTCTACTAAAAATACGAAAGAATTAGCTGGGCGTGGTGGTGGGTGCCTGTAATCTCAGCTGCTCAGGAGGCTGAGGCAGGAGAATCACTTGAACCCGGGAGGCGGAGGTTGCAGTGAGCTGAGATCGTGCCATTGCACTCCAGCCTGGGGAACAAGAGTGAAACTCTGCCTAAAAAGAAAAAAAAAAAAAAAAAAGCTTAAATTAAGAGCATTTCAATGAAAGGCCATTCAGATTTGTTCTCACGGAAGGGATATGCATCTTCTACCCAGACCCTCCCATATGCTCTCCTCTCTAGGCCTTGGAACCCTAATTTAAGGATATTGCTGCAGTGAGATGCTTAATGGCAGAACTAGGGCGCAACCAACTCAGCACACTGGTCAACTGCTAACCTTTCACTAGGAGCAACACGAGAGCCTCAGAGTTGTGAGCCCTGTGGGCACCATGAAGATTGGTGGAGTAAGAACAAAAAAAAAAAAAAAGAGAGAGAGAGAGACTTCAAAGTTGCTCTACACTGGATCGTGGAAAAGGAGCCTCTTACCAAAAGTGGCAGCGGGGCTTAGAGTTTGATCTAGGAAATACACAAGAGCAAAGGGGCAGTCAGGCTGCAGAGCTCTGACCCCGAGCACATGGTATGCAAACAGGAGTATTCACACTCTGCAGTGCAAGAGCCTGTCCTTCATCTTGGGGGATGAGGCCGCAGTGATGTCCCCCCGATTCAGTACTATCCCCAAACAATTCACCACCCTAAAGACGTCCTCCTGTGAACAGCAGATTATCTGAGGATCCCTAAAAGTGGTCCTTCACATAGGGAGGCTGCCATTTTCGGAGTTGGCTGTTAGTGTGGCAGCAAACAGCTGGCATTCCTAAGTAAAAACTCAGAGCCAGAACTGGTGCTCTTCAACCCCGACTCAGCTCTGAGACACAGACCTGCAGGCAATGTGGGCAGATTCAACAATGTCACTACTGAGCCTACTGAAAACAAGTGGACAAGATCCCAAGCCATCAATTCTAGAACATGGTTGGCGTAAAAGCTGTTGTGCATGGATTCTATCAGCAAGAAGGATCAGTAGAAGTATTTGAGGCCAGGCCGGGTGCAGTGGCTCACGCCTGTAATCCCAGCACTTTGGGAGGCTGAGGCGGGCGGATCATGAAGTCAGCAGATCGAGACCATCCTGGCTAAAACGGTGAAACCCCGTCTCTACTAAAAATACAAAAAATTAGCTGGGCATGGTGGCGGGCGCCTGTAGTCCCAGCTACTCGGGAGGCTGAGGCAGGAGAATGGCGTGAACCCGGGAGGCAGAGCTTGCAGTGAGCCGAGATTGCGCCACTGCACTCCAGCCTGGGCGATAGAGCAAGACTCCGTCTCAAAAAAAAAAAAAAAAAGAAGTATTTGAGGCCCAAGGAGTCACTGTGGCAGAGTGGAAAGACTGGGAAATGATTGCATCTGGAGCGTCACTTCTGAGGATAAGGTGATTGGGGTACACGTCCTTCTCCTCTCCCTTTCCCTTAAGACGCTCCAGCGTAAGGGCTTAAACAGACCCTCAAGACACCGTCCTGGAAAGAGGCAGATTGATGGCCACAGCTGAGTGTCAGAGGTTACATATTAGCATGTTCAAGCCTATACCAGGGACGTGTGTATCACATGCCATGCAAAGAACACAAAATATCTGCCCTTCCAATGTCTGCTGCTAGTGCAAATAATAAAAGGTGTTTGAGGATAATATTAAAATGATGTCATCACCTTCTGCTTATCCACTCTTCTGGAAAAAAGTAAGATAGACAACCCAAAAGGTCAGATTTGGCTTTGCAATATTGGCTGGCTTATATTAAACATGGTCTGTCAGAGATTTCAGAAGTCATTTCAAAGCAACATTAAAAAGTTGAATTATGACACATTCCTAACGAAATGATCCAGTTTTCCCACCTTGGCCTCCCACTCCGAGCATGCCACACTCTCTCACACCTCTGTGCCTTGGCAGGGATCGTTCACACTGCTTTGGGGCCCTCTGCCAGCTTCTCTGCACCCAGCACACCAGCACTAGCTTTAGGCCTCAGCTTGAAAACACCCGCTCCTCAGGGACACCTCCTCCCCCATGCCCAGGGTAATCCTAGGATTGCTTTTCTATGCTGCTTCTGTATACTAAACACATGCGGTACAGAAATTAACATGTTATTTGGTTAAACTAACAATTAATTGGATTCATGATTTACCTTCCCCGATGGCCCATAAATTCTTTGGGGTTAAATAACAGGCCGTGTGTTTCCAATGTCTGTGTCTCCTCTCGTGCCTAGCACAGAGCTCACATAATACATATGCAACATATATTTATGTTTTTGTTGATTGGATAGCAGCTCATAGCTTAGACTCAAATATCTTAATACCTGGAATATGAGCAGTCAGCAGTAGGAATTTCAAAGGACTTTCTTTTTTCTTTTCTTTTTGAGATGGAGTCTCGCTCTGTCGCCAAGGCTGGAGTGCAGTGGCGCGATCTCAGCTCACTGCAAGCACCGCCGTCTCCTGGGTTCACGCCATTCTCCTCCCTCAGCCTCCCAAGTAGCTGGGACTACAGGTGCCCGCCACCACGCCCGGCTAATTTTTTTTTTTTGTATTTTTTAGTAGAGACAGGGTCTCACCATGTTAGCCAGGAATGGTCTGATCTCCTGACCTTGTGATCTGCCCACCTCGGCCTCCCAAAGTGCTGGGATTACAGGCGTGAGCAACCGTGCCCAGTCTCAAAGGACTTTCTTACTTGATGGTAGTTAACATGGGAATATTCCAGCAGCTAGAACAGTACTTGGCACATAGTAAGTGCTCAGTAAATATGTGTTAAAGAAATGAATGAATGAGTGAAGAAATGAACGAATGAAAGCATACAAATTATCAATAGAATAGGTAATCAAGGAGTAGTGGTTTTAAAGAACTGTAAAGCATTCCAGTAAAGTAAGTCCAGTTGGTATTGCTAAATTCAAAATCAATATATTCTCCATTAGTGATATGAATTTAAAATTCTAGGAGAATATGTTCTGTATTTACTTTGCAATTAAATGAACAGAGTTGCATTGTAGTGAAATGATGGGATTTTACCAGATGCTCATGGGTTCCTATCACAGATGATTTTAGACTCACAATTTCAGACAACTGGGCCCATTTTGTATTGAATCAAATCGCCTCAGTTCATGTTTCATTCATTCCTTGTAACTTTTTGTCACCCTCTATTGGGAGACATTCTCAAGACATTACCAAAAATCACCTAACGACAGAAATGTTTGTGTTTACAGCATGGCAACTCACAGTGTGACGTGGGACCAGGAGCACAGATCACTGAAGAGACTGTTAGAAATGCAACTTCAGGCTGGACGTAGTGGCTCATGCCTGTAATCCCAAAACTTTGGGAGGCCGAAGCGGGCGGATCACTTGAGGTCATGAGTTTGAGACCAGCCTGGCCAACATGGTGAAACTTCGTCTCTACTAAAAATACAAAAATTAGCTGGGCGTGATGGCATGTGCCTGTAATCCCAATTACTCAGGTGGCTGAAGGATGAGAATCGCTTGAACCCAGGAAGCGGACGTTGCAGTGAGCCGAGATGCGCCTTTGCACTCTAGCCTGGGTGACAGAGTGAGACCCTGTCTCAAAAAAGAAAGAAATGCGGCCGGGCGTGGTGGCTCACGCCTGTAATCCCAGCACTTTGGGAGGCCGAAGTGGGTGGATCACGAAGTCAAGAGATCGAGACCATCCTGGCCAACAGGGTGAAACCCCATCTGTACTAAAAATACAAAAATTAGATGGGCGTGGTAGCACGCACCTGTAGTCCCAGCTACTCGGGAGGCTGAGGCAGGAGAATCACTTGAACTGGGGAGGCAGAGGTTGCAGTGAGCCAAGATTGTGCCACTGCACTCCAGCCTGGCTATAGAGCAAGACTCCATCTCAAAAAAAAAAAAAAAAAAAAGAAAGAAAGAAATTCAACTTCAAGGGTCCTACCTAGAAACCTGTTTTAACAAGCCTCCATGTGACTCCTCTGGTGCTGAAGAAATTCTTCACACCATACAATAAAATATCATCTGTTACCATGATAGAAGAAACCGTGGCTTTCTCTGGCGACTATAAGTACGGATAATGGGCCAGGGCTCCCTAGCTGGAAGGAAAGTCACTGTCCTGGGGGCAAAGCAGGTACCCAGTGACTGTCCCTGCTGATGATGCACCCCGAGAAGTGGAGCAGGCTGGGATGTGTTTGACACAAAGCCCTCTTGCTGTCCTAATCCACACCCACGCCAATATCCCTCAGCCTCATTTCCTCTTGACAAAGACGGTTCTGTTCTGAGGGGGTGTGTGGGACCAACAGCAGCAGCTGGGGTGGCCAAATGACCGCTCTTGCTTAGAATAGAGAGGGATTCAAAGAATGATCTCTGCCAGATTGCCGGGCTTTGCTGTGTCACATCAGGCTGACACAGATGGCCTTGGCCACTAAGGACGCTGCCTTCTTCCTCACAGAAGCCCGAGGAAATGCCCTGAGAAGGAACAAGGACCAGATAACTACCCGGCAGGGAGTGGCTGGTAGGATTTCAGCTTGAAATGTGATCTCTGGATGCCCATGAGCCAGTGTGGCATTTATTTCCACCGCATCAGGGGTCCCAACCTTGGATAACATTTATATTTCTAGAGCACCTGAAGAACAAAGATTCCAGATTGTAAGGTGCAAAATAAGTCACAAGGGGGTGCCTTCTCACTCACACACAGCTAGCCACAGCTGTCTGCCATCCCAGAGCGTACCCCGAAGCTAGCGCGCCAGCGAGCTAGTTTTAAAGCACAGACAACCTCTCCATTGCTGGCTTTCTTCGAACACCGTGGGTGAGGAAATGAGACAGAGAATGTCTAATGATTAGTTCCTTATGGTCCTTACATTCTTGAAGTATATTCTTTACGCCCGCTGGAACACTTCTGCATTCTTGATAGCATGATTGCAATATAAGTTCTTTCCCTTCTGAGCACTGTCTTTTATTGACACACTAAAATATCCTAGGAGCAGGATGGGTCTTCCCACCTTCCTCACGCCCCTCTTTCCCCACTGCCACACTCTCCGCGCCATTCCTTGTTCTCTTTCTAAGAACGCAATAAACATTTCAGCACAATCTTTTCAATCCACATTATTTATAATATTCCGAACATCCATCGAGCCTGGCTAGAATGCGAAGCAATAAATCAAACTTAACAACAACAAAGAAGGAAGGGGGAAAACCGCCCTTTGGCGAGGCGAAAGCCTGAGACGTTTCATTCCCCGAAGGGTTTAGTTATGTTAGGAAAAGTGAGATGGGGATGAGACCCGAGGTTTAGAATGACATAGAGGCAGGAACTGGAATCTATAGGCATAATCATAACTTTGTATAAACCTCAAACAAACTTACCTCTCTGGGGTGTCATGAGGATAAATGAGATACGTGGGAAGCACTCCGAGTGCCTCGAACGAGAGCAACTGGAGCCCAATTCTCCTTTTTGGGTCCAAAAGGTCATCTTTCTTGGAAGGGAGAGGGCTAAGAGCTCCCCCAACTCCCTGAGCGCCAGTCTTTGCTAATTAACATCCCCTCTGCAGGTTTAACTAAGATGGGGGTGAGCCTGGAAGCAGGGCCTCGAGGTAGGGCTGCTAGGTCCTGGACCCAGTCTCCACCCCCAGCAGGGACCCCTCTCCCCACTGCCAGCGAGGACCACGCCAGGCCACACACAGCCAGGGGTGTCCCTGCAGAATGATTCAGCTCCTGCCGGGGGTGGGAAGTAGAGCTCGTCCCACATCCTTTCCTCATGGCGCTACGCAGGTTAACACTGTCTGACTTTGTCTTCGCAAAGAAAGAATCTAGCTCCACAGTTTGCTGATGATTTCAAAATTTATCTAAACGAATGTGGAGGCCAGTACAGGCTATTGGCTAATTGCAGAATTGGCTTGAGGCCTTTCTGCCTTGGCGATTTCCCACGCATTCCCGTCTCACGTTGGAAATCCAAGCTGTTTGGGAGTGGGCGTGTGTTTGCGTGGCAGGCCTCAATGCAGCGGCTCTGTTGCTGTCTAGTCTAACATGCTCTGCCGTCTGCTCTCAGTGGTCCCTTCTGACAGTTTCCTGGATATAAAGGGGTGCTTCTTTTCCAGTCTTGTTGAATGGTACTGAATATAAGATTAGAATAACTGAATCACAATCCACATTTTAGTCATTACAGTCTCATGTTAGCTCTGGGGAAATGACCATAACCGGTACTTACTCATGAGAATTTTCTACCAAAAAGTCAGACAAGAAAGTCATTTTCTTATGAAAAGTGTCAAATGTGCCACCTACTCTGGCTTTGCCATCCCTCCCCTCTGCATGTTAACCTCACTTGGTCTTCTTAAGGTACAGATAATGCCTTCCTGCCCAGATCTGTTACCTGCTTGCTGGCTTGGGTGGAGGTTAGATCTCAACCACTGTTCTGGAAAGGATTTGATCATCAGCTTGGCTTTGTTCATAACTTCCTGCAGTAAAAAAAAGTCTTCAAAAAACCCAAATTCACGAGTGATATAGACATTTGTTTAAACAAAGTCTTCAGGCCGGGCGCGGTGGCTCCCAGCACTTTGGGAGGCTGTAATCCCAGCACTTTGGGAGGCTGAGGCGGGCGGATCACAAGGTCAGGAGATCGAGACCATCCTGGCTAACACGGTGAGACCCTGTCTCTACTAAAAATACAAAAAATTAACCGGGCGTGTTGGTGGGCACCTGTAGTCCCAGCTACTTGGGAGGCTAAGGCAGGAGAATGGTGTGAACCCCGGAGGCAGAGCTTGCAGTGAGCCGAGATTGCACCACTGCACTCCAGCCTGGGCAACAGTGTGAGACTCTGTCTCAAAAATAATAATAATAATAATAATAATAATAATAATAATAAACAAAGTCTTCAAAAATACAACAATTTCTTTTTTCTTTTTTTTTTTTTTTTTTGAGACGGAGTCTCGCTCTGTCACCAGGCTGGAGTGCAGTGGCGTGATCTCAGCTCACTGCAACCTCCACCTCCCAGGTTCAAGCAATTCTCCTGCTTCAGCCTCCCAAGTAGCTGGGACTACAGGCATGCACCACCATGCCTGGCTAATTTTTGTATTTTTAGTAGAGATGGGGTTTCACCATGTTGGCCAAGCTGGTCTCAGACTCCTGACCTCAAGTAATCCGCCCGCCTTGGCCTCCCAAAGTGCAGGGATTACAGGCATGAGCCACCGCGCCTGGCCCAACAATTTCTTTATGATGTCTCTAAGTCACAGAAACCAACAAAATCATCATTACTTGACTGTTCAAGTTAAGGGTCTCTTTACAACTTCCACTTCTTTTGCTTCTGATGACGCAACCATCCTCTTGAGCTCCGGCCTCCCAGGGCTGAGTGGTTCACCCAGACCTCTGGGGTCCCTTCCTTGGTATATTTCCACTTTCACTCCAAGCGTCCATGGGAACTTCTTTCCTTTGTCTATTACCTCCTAGGTGGAGCTCTTCTGCCTTCCTATTTTCCCCCATCGCCTCTAAGTAAAGGGCTGGCTTCACTGACGCAGGGAGACATCGCTGCTCTCTGTCTCTCCTTTAGTGCCTTCTCCCTGGTCAATGGAGTTCCACTATTCCCACCCTTACCTATTTACATACACCAGCAACTTCTCTTTACTTAGAGGTGTAAGTCTGCTGGAGAGCAGACTGTCTAGCTACTGAACTTCCCATCTGTGTGATCATGAGCCAGCCATTTAACCCATCTGGACCTCACCTATAAGATGGGGATAACAGGTTGGGCGCAGTGGCTCATGCCTGTGATCCCAGCACTTTGAGAGGCCAAGGTGGGTGGATCATGAGGTCAAGAGTTTGAGATCAGCCTGACCAACATGGAGAAACCCCGTCTCTAGTAAAAATACAAAAATTAGCCGGGCATGGTGGCTCATGCCTGTAATCCCAGCTACTCGGGAGGCTGAGGCAGGAGAATCATTTGAACCCGGGAAGCAGAGGATGTAGTGAGCCAAGATCGTGCCACTGCACTCCAGCCTGGTCAACAGAGTGAGACTCTGCCTCAAAAAAAGAAAAAAAAGAAAAAAAAAAAGGGCGGGGGATAACAGTAGCGTATATATAATGTGCTGCAATAATGTCAATGACACAGTAAATGCTCAATAAACACTCACTTATCTTATTATTAAGGCTTTTCCAGTCATGCTTCATGGTGTGCCTACAGCCCCTTCAAATGGGATCTTTTTAGATCAGAGCTCTGGCTGAGGTGTGAGTCAAGGTGGCTGCGGTTTCTATCTACCCCCTGATCCCACCCATCAAGCCATAGGGCCCTGGGCATGCAGGGCAAGTTCAGCCGATCCACAGGCTGGCCAGCAGCCCCTGAGTGATTTTGGTCCAGTACATGCAACTGAGCTGGATAAGGATTATTTTCTCTGAAGTTGGACTAGGAAATAAGGAGTGATGCAGGCTTACCAAGTCTGCCTTGGTTCCTAACGAAGGGAACATGTTTCTTTAAAGTAACCCCATCTTTTTTTGTGGAAATGTGAGTGATTCTGTTTCATTTTTTCCCCAACCAAAAGAT
This sequence comes from Homo sapiens, assembly GCF_000001405.40. Classification (NCBI taxonomy): domain Eukaryota; kingdom Metazoa; phylum Chordata; class Mammalia; order Primates; family Hominidae; genus Homo; species Homo sapiens. The sequence goes on from NC_000017.11 coordinate 9,276,382, forward strand.
GTCCCAAAGAACAAAAGTTTAATTAATATATATCCCAGGCTACAGATGTATGTGCTTTAAACGAGGGACAGATTTTGACTCAAGGAATACATTTCTAATTGTAAAATTTTGGGTCATCAGCAAGATGACTGAAAGGATCTCCATCACTTCCGAAATTAGAACTTTTAGGCCACTGTTGAGATATCTAAGACATCAACAAAATTAGTTTTTTGTCAGCTTTTCTTGTTTTTGTTTGTTTATTTGTTTGTTTTTTTTTTTTGGTTGTTGTTTTTGAGATGGAGTCTCGCTCTGTTACCCAGGCTGGAGTGCAGTGGCACGATCTCAGCTCACTGCAACCTCTACCTCCTGGATTCAAGCCATTCTCCTGCCTCAGCCTCCTGAGTAGCTGGGATTACAGGTGCCCACCACCACGCTCGGCTAATTTTTTTGTGTTTTTAGTAGAGACGGGGTTTCACTATGTTGGGCAGGCTGGTCTCGAACTCCTGATCTCGTGATCCGCCCGCCTCGGCCTCCCAAAGTGCTGGGATTACAGGTGTGAGCCACTGCACTCAGCCACCTTTTCTTTTTTTAAAGAGACGAGATCTTGCTATGTTGCCCAGGCTGGAGTGCAGTGGCTATTCACAAGTGTGATCATTAACACACGACAACCTTGAACTCTTGGGCTCAAACGATCCTCCTGCCTCAGCCTCTGGAGTAGCTGGGACTACAGGTGCATACCACTGTGCCTAGCCAGAATCACCTTTTAACATCCATGGCTATTTCAAATCTAGAGTTTACAGCGTCAGTAGGTTTAATGCGGATGAACATCTTCATGACTTAAAAATGAGTAAGGAACACATCCTTTTCTGGTTAACTTCCTTGTCACTCTGGAGAATGTCCCTACCGCTATTTCTCAAATGAGAGGACCTGAAGTTCTCTGGAGCACGGGGTGTGGATGGAGGTATAAGAGAAGGGATAGCTGGAAATGATAGTGGGTGAAGGTTAGTGAGGGCAGGGTCTCAATGAGTGAGGGCAGGGTCTCAATGAGTGAAGGCAGGGTCTCAATGGCTCATGAAGGCATCTAGGCTGAATACACAGAAGCCAGTCAGCCTCCATCTGCTTCTACCCAACTCTGTACCAGGTACCATGTTAGGTTCTGGGAATACAACAAGGGTCAAGATAGACATGATACCTGTGCCTGAGGAATTGACAGGCTAATGGGGGAGTCAGACATTCAAACAACCACACAATAAAATGATTACAAATCATAGAGAAGCATTAAGAAGGAAATAAACAAGATGTTATGACAACAGTTACTTTAATGGGGTGGTCAGATATGGCTTTCTGATGAGGTGATCTGTTGAGATCTAAAAGTAAATAAAGCTGGGTGAAGACCATGCCAGCCAAAGCCAGGCAGAGTGGGAAGCACAGAGCAGCTAGGGATTCATGGAATGGAAAGAAACCCACTGTGGTTAGAACTGGCCAGTGAGGAGAGAAATCAAGGTAAATTTGGTGAGAGTGTCAGGGCTAAGTCCTGCAGGGCCCTAGAAGCCATGGTAAGGAGTTGGATTTTATCCTAAGTACAAGGGAAGCAAGTGAAGGGTTTAAGCAGGGAGCGGCAATATCTCCTTTAGGTTAGACAGTCATTTATGTCACAGTGTGGAGACTGGACCGGAGGGTATGGTGTCCAGGTCCAAGTAAAGCCAACAAGACCTCTTTGAGAGAACTATCCCAGCATCTGGGTAAGAGGGTGACATGAAATGGGGTGGTGGCAGTGGAGACAGAGGGATTGAAACATACTTTAGGGCCGGATGCAGTGGCTTACGCCTGTAATCCCAGCACTTTGGGAGGCCGAGGCAGGTGGATCACCTGAGGTCGCGAGTTTGAAACCAGCCTGACCAACATAGAGAAAACCCCGTCTCTACTAAAAATACAAAATTAGCCGGGCACGGCAGCACATGCCTGTTAATCCCAGCTACTCGGGAGGCTGAGACAGGAGAATCGCTTGAACCCGGGAGGCGGAGGTTGCGATGAGCTGAGATCACGCCATTTCACTCCTGCCTGGGCAACAAGAGTGAAATTCCATCTCAGAAAAAAAAAAAAAATAGAAACATACTTTAGAATGCCACAGCTTCTTTTTGGATAAGCAAGGGCGGCTATAGTGAGAGGAGAGGAGGAAACAAAATTTCTACCTTGAATAACTGGGTCAATGGCATGCTATTTATTGAGACAGAAAACTAGGGGTAGGTGGCGTTCTGGATATGCTGCAGAGGGATTTAAGCTGACATATCAAAAAGTTCTTGGATATGCAGTATAATGGAGCTCAGAAGAGAGATCTTGGGCAGTGGCAGTGATGGTGACAGGTTGAGAGCCCAAAGAAGAGAGGAGAGAGGAAAGATCACGGGGAGGCGGAGAGCAGGGGAGGGAGATCGGGCAGGGTGGGTGCAGGGGGTACCGTGAGTATGGGAGCTTCTAAGACTTGGGCCCAGAGCTGCTAAAGGGGCACTGGAAGGGAGGACTCTGGCTCTGTCACTATCTGATGAGGACAGCAGCAGAGTGACTACAGCAAGCATTTACAGAGAGTCTATTGCACATCAAGCACTGTACTCTTGATCTTCCATACCCCTCT